>NC_000013.11:17182173-17416384 GCF_000001405.40 Homo sapiens | reverse complement strand
TCTGTCTTGATTTGATATGAAGATATTCCCGTTTCCAACGAAATCTTCAAATCTATCCAAATGTCCACTTGCAGATTCAACAAAGTGTTTTTCAGAACTGCTCTATCAAAAGAAAGATCCACGTGTGTTAGCTGAGTTCACACATCACGAACAAGTTTATGAGAATGCTTCTGTCTAGTTTTTATTTGAAGATATATCCTTTCTCACTATAGACCTGAAAGCTCTCCTAAAGTTCACTTCCAGATACTACAGAAAGAGTTTTTCAAAACTGCTGTACGAAAGGGAATGTTCAACTCTGTGACTTGAAAGCACACATCACAAGGAAGATTCTGAGGATGCTGCTGTCTACTTTTTATACGTAATCCCGTTTCCAACGAAATCCCCCAAGCTATCCAAATATCCACTTGCAGATTCCACAGAAAGACTGTTTCAAAACTGCTCTGTCAATAGAAAGGTTCAACTCTATTAGCTGCGTGCATATATCCCAAAGAAGATTCTGAGATTGCTTCTGTCTAGTTTTTATGGGAAGATATTTACCTTTTCACCGTAGGCGCCAAGGCGTTCCAAATGTCCACTTCCAGATACTACAAAAAGAGTGTTTCAAACCTACTCTGTGAAAGGGAATATTCAACTCTGTGACTTGAAGGCAGATATCACAAAGAAGTTTCTGAGAATGCTTCTGTCGAGATTTTATATGAAGATATTCCCGTTTCCAACGAAATCCTGAAATCTATCCAAATATCCCCTCGCAGATTCTACAAAAAGAGTGTTTCAAAACTGCTCTGTAAAAAGAAAGGTTCAACTCTGTTAGTTGAGTACACACATCACAAACAAGTTTCACAGAATGCTTCTTTCTAGCTTGTAGGGGAAGATATTCCCTTTATCACCATGGGCCTCAAACCGTCCAAAACGTCTACTTCCATATACTACAAAAAGAGCGTTTCAAACCTGCTCTATGAAAGGCAATGTTCAACTCTGTGACTTGAATGCAGACATCACAGAGCAGTTTATGAGAATGCTTCTGTCTAGATTTTATAGGAAGATATTCCCGTTTCCAACGAAATCTTCACAGCTATCCAAATATCCACTTGCAGATTCTACAAAAAGAGTGTATCAAAACTGCTCTGTCAAAAGGAAGGTTCTTCTCTGTTAGTTGAGTACATACGTCATAAAGGAGTTTCTGAGAATGTTTCTGTCTAGTGGTTATGGGAAGATATTTGCTTTTTCACCGTAGGCCTCAGAGCTCTCCAAATATCCCCTTGCACATGCTACAAAAAGAGTGCTTCAAAGCTGCTCTCTGAAACGGAATGTTCAACTCTATGAGTTGAATGCAAACATCACAAAGACGTTTCTGGGAATGCTTCTGTATAGATTTGATATGAAGATATTCCCGTTTCCAACGAAATCTTCAAATCTATCCAAATGTCCACTTGCAGATTCAACAAAAAGTGTTTTTCAGAACTGCTCTATCAAAAGAAAGATCCACCTCTGTTAGCTGAGTTCACACATCACAAACAAGTTTATGAGAATGCTTCTGTCTAGTTTTTATTTGAAGATATTTCCTTTCTCACCATAGAGCTGAAAGCTGTCCTAATGTTCACTTCCAGATACTACAGAAAGAGTGTTTCAAAACTGCTGTACGAAAGGGAATGTTCAACTATGTGACTTGAATGCACACATCACAAAGAAGTTTACTGAGGATGCTGCTGTCTACTTTTTATACGTAATCCCTTTTCCAACGAAATCCTCCAAGCTATCCAAATATCCACTTGCAGATTCCACAGAAAGACTGTTTCAAAACTGCTCTGTCAATAGAAAGGTTCAACTCTGTTAGCTTGCGTGCATATATCCCAAAGAAGATTCTGAGATTGCTTCTGTCTAGTTTTTATGGGAAGATATTTCTCTTTTCACCGTAGGTGTTAAGGCGCTCCAAATGTCCACTTCCAGATACTACAAAAAGAGTGTTTCAAACCTACTCTGTGAAAGGGAATATTCAACTCTGTGACTTGAATGCAGATATCACAAAGAAGTTTCTGAGAATGCTTCTGTCGAGATTTTATATGAAGATATTCCCGTTTCCAACGAAATGCTGAAATGTATCCAAATATCCCCTCGCAGATTCTACAAAAAGAGTGTTTCAAAAGTGCTCTGTAAAAAGAAAGGTTCAACTCTGTTAGTTGAGTACACACATCACAAACAAGTTTCACAGAATGCTTCTTTCTAGCTTGTAGGGGAAGATATTCCCTTTATCACCATGGGCCTCAAACCGTCTGAAACGTCCACTTCCATATACTACAAAAAGAGCGTTTCAAAGCTGCTCTATGAAAGGCAATGTTCAACTCTGTGACTTGAATGCAGACATCACAGAGCAGTTTCTGAGAATGCTTCTGTCTAGATTTTATAGGAAGATATTCCCGTTTCCAACGAAATCTTCACAGCTATCCAAATATCCACTTGCAGATTCTACAAAAAGAGTGTATCAAAACTGCTCTGTCAAAAGGAAGGTTCTTCTCTGTTAGGTGAGTGCATACGTCATAAAGGAGTTTCTGAGAATGTTTCTGTCTAGTGGTTATGGGAAGATATTTGCTTTTTCACCTTAGGCCTCAGAGCGCTCCAAATATCCCCTTGCACATACTACAAAAAGAGTGCTTCAAAGCTGCTCTCTGAAAGGGAATGTTCAACTCTATGGGTTGAATGCAAACATCACAAAGACGTTTCTGAGAATGCTTCTGTCTAGATTTGATATGAAGATATTCCCGTTTCCAACGAAATCTTCAAATCTATCCAAATGTCCACTTGCAGATTCAACAAAAAGTGTTTTTCAGAACTGCTCTATCAAAAGAAAGATCCACCTCTGTTAGCTGAGTTCACACATCACAAACAAGTTTATGAGAATGCTTCTGTCTAGTTTTTATTTGAAGATATTTCCTTTCTCACCATAGACCTGAAAGCTGTCCTAATGTTCACTTCCAGATACTACAGAAAGAGTGATTCAATACTGCTGTACGAAAGGGAATGTTCAACTCTGTGACTTGAATGCACACATCACAAAGAAGTTTCTGAGGATGCTGCTGTCTACTTTTTATACGTAATCCCGTTTCCAACGAAATCCTCCAAGCTATCCAAATATCCACTTGCAGATTCCACAGAAAGACTGTTTCAAAACTGCTCTGTCAATAGAAAGGTTCAACTCTGTTAGCTGCGTGCATATATCCCAAAGAAGATTCTGAGATTGCTTCTGTCTAGTTTTTATGGGAAGATATTTCCCTCTTCACCGTAGGTGTCAAGGCGCTCCAAATGTCCACTTCCAGATACTACAAAAAGAGTGTTTCAAACCTACTCTGTGAAAGGGAATATTCAACTCTGTGACTTGAATGCACACATCACAAAGAAGTTTCTGAGGATGCTTCTGTCGAGATTTTATATGAAGATATTCCCGTTTCCAACGAAATCCTGAAATGTATCCAAATATCCCCTCGCAGATTCTACAAAAAGAGTGTTTCAAAACTGCTCTGTAAAAAGAAAGGTTCAACTCTGTTAGTTGAGTACACTCATCACAAACAAGTTTCACAGAATGCTTCTTTCTAGCTTGTAGGGGAAGATATTCCCTTTATCACCATGGGCCTCCAACCGTCCGAAACATCCACTTCCATATACTACAAAAAGAGCGTTTCAAACCTGCTCTACGAAAGGCAATGTTCAACTCTGTGACTTGAATGCAGACATCACAGAGCAGTTTCTGAGAATGCTTCTGTCTAGACTTTATAGGAAGGTATTCCCGTTTCCAACGAAATCTTCACAGCTATCCAAATATCCACTTGCAGATTCTCCAATGGAGTGTATCAAAACTGCTCTGTCAAAAGGAAGGTTCTTCTGTTTTAGTTGAGTACTTACGTCATAAAGAAGTTTCTGAGAATGTTTCTGTCTAGTGGTTATGGGAAGATATTTGCTTTTTCACCTTAGGCCTCAGAGCGCTCCAAATATCCACTTGCACATACTACAAAAAGAGTGCCTCAAAGCTGCTCTCTGAAACGGAATGTTCAACTCTATGAATTGAATGCAAACATCACAAAGACGTTTCTGAGAATGCTTCTGTCTAGATTTGATATGAAGATATTCCCGTTTCCAACGAAATCTTGAAATCTATCCAAATGTCCACTTGCAGATTCAACAAAGTGTTTTTCAGAACTGCTCTATCAAAAGAAAGATCCACCTCTGTTAGCTGAGATCACACTTCACAAACAAGTTTATCAGAATGCTTCTGTCTAGTTTTTATTTGAAGATATATCCTTTCTCACTATAGACCTGAAAGCTGTCCTAAAGTTCACTTCCAGATACTACAGAAACAGTGTTTCAAAACTGCTGTACGAAAGGGAATGTTCAACTCTGTGACGTGAATGCACACATCACAAGGATGTTTCTGAGGATGCTGCTGTCTACTTTTTATACGTAATCCCGTTTCCAACGAAATCCTCCAAGCTATCCAAATATCCACTTGCAGTTTCCACAGAAAGACTGTTTCAAAACTGCTCTGTCAATAGAAAGGTTCAACTCTGTTAGCTGCGTGCATATATCCCAAAGAAGATTCTGAGATTGCTTCTGTCTAGTTTTTATGGGAAGATATTTCCCTTTTCACCATAGGCGTCAAGGCGCTCCAAATGTCCACTTCCAGATACTACAAAAAGAGTGTTTCAAACCTACTCTGTGAAAGGGAATATTCAACTCTGTGACTTGAATGCACATATCACAAAGAAGTTTCTGAGAATGCTTCTGTCGAGATTTTATATAAAGATATTTCCGTTTCCAACGAAATCCTGAAATCTATCCAAATATCCCCTCGCAGATTCTACAAAAAGAGTGTTTCAAAACTGCTCTGTAAAAAGAAAGGTTCAACTCTGTTAGTTGAGTACACACATCACAAACAAGTTTCACAGAATGCTTCTTTCTAGCTTGTAGGGGAAGATATTCCCTTTATCACCATGGGCCTCCAACCGTCCGAAACATCCACTTCCATATACTACAAAAAGAGCGTTTCAAACCTGCTCTATGAAAGGCAATGTTCAACTCTGTGACTTGAATGCAGACATCACAGAGCAGTTTCTGAGAATGCTTCTGTCTAGATTTTATAGGAAGATATTCCCGTTTCCAACGAAATCTTCACAGCTATCCTAATATCCACTTGCAGATTCTACAAAAAGAGTGTATCAAAACTGCTCTGTCAAAAGGAAGGTTCTTTTCTGTTAGTTGAGTGCATACGTCATAAAGGAGTTTCTGAGAATGTTTCTGTCTAGTGGTTATGGGAAGATATTTTCTTTTTCCCCGTAGGCCTCAGGGCGCTCCAAATGTCCACTTGCACATGCTACAAAAAGAGTGCTTCAAAGCTACTCTCTGGAAGGGAATGTTCAACTCTATGAGTTGAATGCAAACATCACAAAGACGTTTCTGAGAATGCTTCTGTCTAGATTTGATATGAAGATATTCCCGTTTCCAACGAAATCTTCAAATCTATCCAAATATCCACTTGCAGATTCAACAAAGTGTTTTTCAGAACTGCTCTATCAAAAGAAAGATCCACCTCTGTTAGCTGAGTTCACACTTCACAAACAAGTTTATCAGAATGCTTCTGTCTAGTTTTTATTTGAAGATATTTCCTTTCTCACCATAGAGCTGAAAGCTGTCCTAATATTCACTTCCAGATACTACAGAAAGAGTGTTTCAAAACTGCTGTACGAAAGGGAATGTTCAACTCTGTGACTTGAATGCACACATCACAAAGAAGTTTCTGAGGATGCTGCTGTATACTTTTTATACTTAATCCCGTTTCCAACGAAATCCTCCAAGCTATCCAAATATCCACTTGCAGATTCCACAGAAAGACTGTTTCAAAACTGCTCTGTCAATAGAAAGGTTCAACTCTGTTAGCTGCGTGCATATATCCCAAAGAAGATTCTGAGATTGCTTCTGTCTAGTTTTTATGGGAAGATATTTCCCTTTTCACCGTAGGCGTCAAGGCGCTCCAAATGTCCACTTCCAGATACTACAAAAAGAGTGTTTCAAACCTACTCTGTGGAAGGGAATATTCAACTCTGTGACTTGAATGCAGATATCACAAAGAAGTTTCTGAGAATGCTTCTGTCGAGATTTTATATGAAGATATTCCCGTTTCCAACGAAATCCTGAAATCTATCCAAATATCCCCTCGCAGATTCTACAAAAAGAGTGTTTCAACACTGCTCTGTAAAAAGAAAGGTTCAACTCTGTTAGTTAAGTACACACATCACAAACAAGTTTCACAGAATGCTTCTTTCTAGCTTGCAGGGGAAGATATTCCCTTTATCACCATGGGCCTCAAACCGTCCGAAACGTCTACTTCCATATAGTACAAAAAGAGCGTTTCAAACCTGCTCTATGAAAGGCAATGTTCAACTCTGTGACTTGAATGCAGACATCACAGAGCAGTTTCTGAGAATGCTTCTGTCTAGATTTTATAGGAAGATATTCCCGTTTCCAACGAAATCTTCACAGGTATCCAAATATCCACTTGCAGATTCTACAAAAAGAGTGTATCAAAACTGCTCTGTCAAAAGGAAGGTTCTTCTCTGTTAGGTGAGTGCATACGTCATAAAGGAGTTTCTGAGAATGTTTTCTGTCTAGTGGTTATGGGAAGATATTTGCTTTTTCACCGTAGGCCTCAGAGGGCTCCAAATATCCACTTGCACATACTACAAAAAGAGTGCCTCAAAGCTGCTCTCTGAAACGGAATGTGCAACTCTATGAGTTGAATGCAAACATCGCAAAGACGTTTCTGAGAATGCTTCTGTCTAGATTTGATATGAAGATATTCCCGTTTCCAACGAAATCTTCAAATGTATCCAAATGTCCACTTGCAGATTCAACAAAAAGTGTTTTTCAGAACTGCTCTATCAAAAGTAAGATCCACCTCTGTTAGCTGAGTTCACACCTCACAAACAAGTTTATGAGAATGCTTCTGTCTAGTTTTTATTTGAAGATATTTCCTTTCTCACCATAGAGCTGAAAGCTGTCCTAATGTTCACTTCCAGATACTACAGAAAGAGTGTTTCAAAACTGCTGTACGAAAGGGAATGTTCAACTCTGTGACTTGAATGCACACATCACAAAGAAGTTTCTGAGGATGCTGCTGTCTACTTTTTATACGTAATCCCGTTTCCAAAGATATCCTCCAAGCTATCCAAATATCCACTTGCAGATTCCACAGTAAGACTGTTTCAAAACTGCTCTGTCAATAGAAAGGTTCAACTCTGTTAGCTGCGTGCATATATCCCAAAGAAGATTCTGAGATTGCTTCTGTCTAGTTTTTATGGGAAGATATTTCCCTTTTCACCGTAGGTGTCAAGGCGCTCCAAATGTCCACTTCCAGATACTACAAAAAGAGTGTTTCAAACCTACTCTGTGAAAGGGAATATTCAACTCTGTGACTTAAAGGGAGATATCACAAAGAAGTTTCTGAGAATGCTTCTGTCGAGATTTTCTATGAAGATATTCCCGTTTCCAACGAAATCCTGAAATCTATTCAAATATCCCCTCGCAGATTCTACAAAAAGAGTGTTTCAAAACTGCTCTGTAAAAAGAAAGGTTCAACTCTGTTAGTTGAGTACACACATCACAAACAAGTTTCACAGAATGCTTCTTTCTAGCTTGTAGGGGAAGATATTCCCTTTATCACCATGGGCCTCAAACCGTCCGAAACGTCCACTTCCATATACTACAAAAAGAGCGTTTCAAACCTGCTCTAGGAAAGGCAATGTTCAACTCTGTGACTTGAATGCAGACATCAAAGAGCAGGTTCTGAGAATGCTTCTGTCTAGATTTTATAGGAAGATATTCCCGTATCCAACGAAATCTTCACAGCTATCCAAATATCCACTTGCAGATTCTACAAAAAGAGTGTATCAAAACTGCTCTGTCAAAAGGAAGGTTCTTCTCTGTTAGTTGAGTACATACGTCATAAAGGAGTTTCTGAGAATGTTTCTGTCTAGTGGTTATGGGAAGATATTTGCTTTTTCACCGTAGGCCTCAGAGCGCTCCAAATATCCACTTGCACATACTACAAAAAGAGTGCTTCAAACCTGCTCTCTGAAACGGAATGTTCAACTCTATGAGTTGAATGCGAACATCACAAAGACGTTTCTGAGAATGCTTCTGTCTAGATTTGATATGAAGATATTCCCGTTTCCAACGAAATCTTCAAAGCTATCCAAATGTCCACTTGCAGATTCAACAAAAAGTGTTTTTCAGAACTGCTCTATCAAAAGAAAGATCCACCTCTGTTAGCTGAGTTCACACATCACAAACAAGTTTATGAAAATGCTTCTGTCTAGTTTTTATTTGAAGATATTTCCTTTCTCACCATAGACCTGAAAGCTGTCCTAATGTTCACTTCCAGATACTACAGAAAGAGTGTTTCAAAACTGCTGTACGAAAGGGAATGTTCAACTCTGTGACTTGAATGCACACATCACAAAGAAGTTTCTGAGGATGCTGCTGTCTACTTTTTATACGTAATCCCGTTTCCAACGAAATCCACCAATCTATCCAAATATCCACTTGCAGATTCCACAGAAAGACTGTTTCAAATCTGCTCAGTCAATAGAAAGGTTCAACTCTGTTAGCTGCGTGCATATATCCCAAAGAAGATTCTGAGATTGCTTCTGTCTAGTTTTTATGGGAAGATATTTCCCTTTTCACCGTAGGTGTCAAGGCGCTCCAAATGTCCACTTCCAGATACTACAAAAAGAGTGTTTCAAACCTACTCTGTGAAAGGGAATATTCAACTCTGTGACCTGAATGCACATATCACAAAGAAGTTTCTGAGAATGCTTCTGTCGAGATTTTATATGAAGATATTCCCGTTTCCAACGAAATGCTGAAATCTATCGAAATATCCCCTCGCAGATTCTACAAAAAGAGTGTTTCAAAACTGCTCTGTGAAAAGAAAGGTTCAACTCTGTTAGTTGAGTACACACATCACAAACAAGTTTCACAGAATGCTTCTTTCTAGCTTGTAGGGGAAGATATTCCCTTTATCACCATGGGCCTCAAACCGTCCGAAACGTCCACTTCCAAATACTACAAAAAGAGTGTTTCAAACCTGCTCTATGAAAGGCAATGTTCAACTCTGTGACTTGAATGCAGACATCACAGAGCAGTTTCTGAGAATGCTTCTGTCCAGACTTTATAGGAAGATATTCCCGTTTCCAACGATATCTTCACAGCTATCCAAATATCCACTTGCAGATACTACAAAAAGAGTGTATCAAAAATGCTCTGTCAAAAGGAAAGTTCTTCTCTGCTAGTTGAGTACATACGTCATAAAGAAGTTTCTGAGAATGTTTCTGTCTAGTGGTTATGGAAAGATATTTGCTTTTTCACCGTAGGCCTCAGAGCGCTCCAAATATCCACTTGCACATACTACAAAAAGAGTGCCTCAAAGCTGCTCTCTGAAACGGAATGTTCAACTCTATGAGTTGAATGCAAACATCGCAAAGACGTTTCTGAGAATGCTTCTGTCTAGATTTGATATGAAGATATTCCCGTTTCCAACGAAATCTTCAAATCTATCCAAATGTCCACTTGCAGATTCAACAAAATGTGTTTTTCAAAACTGCTGTATCAAAAGAAAGATCCACGTCTGTTAGCTGAGTTCACACATCACAAACAAGTTTAGGAGAATGCTCTGTCTAGTTTTTATTTGAAGATATTTCCTTTCTCACCATAGAGCTGAAAGCTGTCCTAATGTTCACTTCCAGATACTACAGAAAGAGTGTTTCAAAACTGCTGTACGAAAAGGAATGTTCAACTCTGTGACTTGAATGCACACATCACAAAGAAGTTTCTGAGGATGCTGGCTTTCTACTTTTTATACGTAATCCCGTTTCCAACGAAATCCTCCAAGCTATCCAAATATCCACTTGCAGATTCCACAGAAAGACTGTTTCAAAACTGCTCTGTCAATAGAAAGGTTCAACTCTGTTAGCTGCGTGCATATATCCCAAAGAAGATTCTGAGATTGCTTCTGTCTAGTTTTCATGGGAAGATATTTCCCTTTTCACCGTAGGCGTCAAGGCGCTCCAAATGTCCACTTCCAGATACTACAAAAAGAGTGTTTCAAACCTACTCTGTGAAAGGGAATATTCAACTCTGTGACTTGAATGCACATATCACAAAGAAGTTTCTGAGAATGCTTCTGTCGAGATTTTATATGAAGATATTCCCGTTTCCAACGAAATCCTGAAATCTATCCAAATATCCCCACGCAGATTCTACAAAAAGAGTGTTTCAAAACTGCTCTGTAAAAAGAAAGGTTCAACTCTGTTAGTTGAGTACACACATCACAAACAAGTTTCACAGAATGCTTCTTTCTAGCATGTAGGGGAAGATATTTCCTTTATCACCATGGTCCTCAAACCGTCCGAAACATCCACTTCCATATACTAAAAAAAGAGTGTTTGAAACCTGCTCTATGAAAGGCAATGTTCAACTCTGTGACTTGAATGCAGACATCTCAGAGCAGTTTCGGAGAATGCTTCTGTCTAG
Source organism: Homo sapiens (assembly GCF_000001405.40). Lineage (NCBI taxonomy): Eukaryota > Metazoa > Chordata > Mammalia > Primates > Hominidae > Homo > Homo sapiens. The sequence continues at coordinate 17,405,809 of NC_000013.11, read as the reverse complement.
CATTTTATAGGAAGATATTCCCGTTTCCAACGAAATCTTCACAGCTATCCAAATATCCACTTGCAGATTCTACAAAAAGAGTGTATCAAAACTGCTCTGTCAAAAGGAAGGTTCTTCTCTGTTAGGTGAGTGCATACGTCATAAAGGAGTTTCTGAGAATGTTTCTGTCTAGTGGTTATGGGAAGATATTTGCTTTTTCACCTTAGGCCTCAGAGCGCTCCAAATATCCACTTGCACATACTACAAAAAGAGTGCCTCAAAGCTGCTCTCTGAAACGGAATGTTCAACTCTATGAGTTGAATGCAAACATCGCAAAGACGTTTCTGAGAATGCTTCTGTCTAGATTTGATATGAAGATATTCCCGTTTCCAACGAAATCTTCAAATCTATCCAAATGTCCACTTGCAGATTCAACAAAAAGTGTTTTTCAGAACTGTTCTATCAAAAGAAAGATCCACCTCTCTTAGCTGAGTTCACACATCACAAACAAGTTTATGAGAATGCTTCTGTCTAGTTTTTATTTGAAGATATTTCCTTTCTCACCATAGACCTGAAAGCTGTCCTAATGTTCACTTCCAGTTACTACAGAAAGAGTGTTTCAAAACTGCTGCACGAAAGGGAATGTTCAACTCTGTGACTTGAATGCACACATCACAAAGAAGTTTCTGAGGATGCTGCTGTCTACTTTTTATACGTAATCCCATTTCCAACGAAATCCTCCAAGCTATCCAAATATCCACTTGCAGATTCCACAGAAAGACTGTTTCAAAACTGCTATGTCAATAGAAAAGTTCAACTCTGTTAGCTGTGTGCATATATCCCAAAGAAAATTCTGAGATTGCTTCTGTCTAGTTTTTATGGGAAGATATTTCCCTTTTCACCGTAGGGGTCAAGGCGCTCCAAATGTCCACTTCCAGATACTATAAAAAGAGTGTTTCAAACCTACTCTGTGAAAGGGAATATTCAACTCTGTGACTTGAATGCAGATATCATAAAGAAGTTTCTGAGAATGCTTCTGTCGAGATTTTGTATGAAGATATTCCCGTTTCCAACGAAATCCTGAAATCTATCCAAATTTCCCCTCGCAGATTCTACAAAAAGAGTGTTTCAAAACTGCTCTGCAAAAAGAAAGGTTCAACTCTGTTAGTTGAGTACACACATCACAAACAAGTTTCACAGAATGCTTCTTTCTAGCTTGTAGGGGAAGATATTCCCTTTATCACCATGGGCCTCAAACCGTCCGAAACGTCCACTTCCATATACTACAAAAAGAGCGTTTCAAACCTGCTCTACGAAAGGCAATGTTCAACTCTGTGACTTGAATGCAGACATCACAGAGCAGTTTCTGAGAATGCTTTCTGTCTAGATTTTATAGGAAGATATTCCCGTTTCCAACGAAATCTTCACAGCTATCCAAATATCCTCTTGCAGATTCTAGAAAAAGAGTGTATCAAAACTGCTCTGTCAAAAGGAAGGTTCTTTTCTGTTAGGTGAGTGCATACGTCATAAAGGAGTTTCTGAGAATGTTTCTGTTAGTGGTTATAGGAAGATATTTGCTTTTTCACCGTAGGCCTCAGAGCGCTCCAAATATCCACTTGCACATACTACAAAAAGAGTGCCTCAAAGCTGCTCTCTGAAACGGAATGTTCAACTCTATGAGTTGAATGCAAACATCGCAAAGACGTTTCTGAGAATGCTTCTGTCTAGATTTGATATGAAGATATTCCCGTTTCCAACGAAATCTTCAAATCTATCCAAATGTCCACTTGCAGATTCAACAAAAAGTGTTTTTCAGAATTGCTCTATCAAAAGAAAGATCCACCTCTGTTAGCTGAGTTCACACATCACAAACAAGTTTATGAGAATGCTTCTGTCTAGTTTTTATTTGAAGATATTTCCTTTCTCACCATAGACCTGAAAGCTGTCGTAATGTTTACTTCCAGATACTACAGAAAGAGTGTTTCAAAACTGCTGTATGAAACGGAATGTTCAACTCTGTGACTTGAATGCACACATCACAAAGAAGTTTCTGAGGATGCTGCTGTCTACTTTTTATACGTAATCCCGTTTTCAACGAAATCCTCCAAGCTATCCAAATATCCACTTGCAGATTCCACAGAAAGACTGTTTCAAAACTGCTCTGTCAATAGAAAGGTTCAACTCTGTTAGCTGCGTGCATATATCCCAAAGAAGATTCTGAGATTGCTTCTGTCTAGTTTTTATGGGAAGATATTTCCCTTTTCACCGTAGGTGTCAAGGCGCTCCAAATGTCCACTTCCAGATACTACAAAAAGAGTGTTTCAAACCTACTCTGTGAAAGGGAATATTCAACTCTGTGACTTGAATGCACATATCACAAGGAAGTTTCTGAGAATGCTTCTGTCGAGATTTTATATGAAGATATTCCCGTTTCCAACGAAATGTTGAAATGTATCCAAATATCCCCTCGCAGATTCTACAAAAAGAGTGTTTCAAAACTGCTCTGTAAAAACAAAGGTTCAACTCTGTTAGTTGAGTACACACATCACAAACAAGTTTCACAGAATGCTTCTTTCTAGCTTGTAGGGGAAGATATTCCCTTTATCACCATGGGCCTCAAACCGTCCGAAACGTCCACTTCCATATACTACAAAAAGAGCGTTTCAAACCTGCTCTATGAAAGGCAATGTTCAACTCTGTGACTTGAATGCAGACATCACAGAGCAGTTTCTGAGAATGCTTCTGTCTAGATTTGATATGAAGATATTCCCGTTTCCAACGAAATCTTCAAATCTATCCAAATGTCCACTTGCAGATTCAACAAAAAGTGTTTTTCAGAACTGCTCTATCAAAAGAAAAATCCACCTCCGTTAGCTGAGTTCACACTTCACAAACAAGTTTATCAGAATGCTTCTGTCTAGTGGTTATGGGATGATATTTGCTTTTTCACCGTAGGCCTCAGAGCGCTCCAAATATCCACTTGCACATACTACAAAAAGAGTGCTTCAAAGCTGCTCTCTGAAAGGGAATGTTCAACTCTATGAGTTGAATGCAAACATCACAAAGACGTTTCTGAGAATGCTTCTGTCTAGATTTGATATGAAGATATTCCCGTTTCCAACGAAATCTTCAAATCTATCCAAATGTCCACTTGCAGATTCAACAAAAAGTGTTTTTCAGAACTGCTCTATCAAAAGAAAGATCCACGTGTGTTAGCTGAGTTCACACATCACAAACAAGTTTATGAGAATGCTTCTGTCTGGTTTTTATTTGAAGATATTTCCTTTCTCACCATAGACCTGAAAGCTGTCCTAATGTTCACTTCCAGATACTACAGAAAGAGTGTTTCAAAACTGCTGTACGAAAGGGAATGTTCAACTCTGTGACTTGAATGCACACATCACAAAGAAGTTTCTGAGGATGCTGCTGTCTACTTTTGATACGTAATCCCGTTTCCAACGAAATCCTCCAAGCTATCCAAATATCCACTTGCAGATTCCACAGAAAGACTGTTTCAAAACTGCTCTGTCAATAGAAAGGTTCAACTCTGTTAGCTGCGTGCATATATCCCAAAGAAGATTCTGAGATTGCTTCTGTCTAGTTTTTATGGGAAGATATTTCCCTTTTCACCGTAGGCGTCAAGGCGCTCCAAATGTCCACTTCCAGATACTACAAAAAGAGTGTTTCAAACCTACTCCGTGAAAGGGAATATTCAACTCTGTGACTTGAATGCACATATCACAAAGAAGTTTCTGAGAATGCTTCTGTCGAGATTTTATATGAAGATATTCCCGTTTCCAACGAAATCCTGAAATGTATCCAAATATCCCCTCGCAGATTCTACAAAAAGAGTGTTTCAAAACTGCTCTGTAAAAAGAAAGGTTCAACTCTGTTAGTTGAGTACACACATCACAAACAAGTTTCACAGAATGCTTCTTTCTAGCTTGTAGGGGAAGATATTCCCTTTATCACCATGGTCCTCAAACCGTCCGAAACGTCCACTTCCATATACTACAAAAAGAGCATTTCAAACCTGCTCTATGAAAGGCAATGTTCAACTCTGTGACTTGAATGCAGACATCACAGAGCAGTTTCTGAGAATGCTTCTGTATAGATTTTATAGGAAGATATTCCCGTTTCCAACGAAATCTTCACAGGTATCCAAATATCCACTTGCAGATTCTACAAAAAGAGTGTATCAAAACTGCTCTGTCAAAAGGAAGGTTCTTCTCTGTTAGGTGAGTGCATACGTCATAAAGGAGTTTCTGAGAATGTTTCTGTCTAGTGGTTATGGGAAGATATTTGCTTTTTCACCGTAGGCCTCAGAGCGCTCCAAATATCCACTTGCACATACTACAAAAAGAGTGCTTCAAACCTGCTCTCTGAAACGGAATGTTCAACTCTATGAGTTGAATGCAAACATCACAAAGACGTTTCTGAGAATGCTTCTGTCTAGATTTGATATGAAGATATTCCCGTTTCCAACGAAATCTTCAAATCTATCCAAATGTCCTCTTGCAGATTCAACAAAAAGTGTTTTTCAGAACTGCTCTATCAAAAGAATGATCGACGTGTGTTAGCTGAGTTCACACATCACGAACAAGTTTATGAGAATGCTTCTGTCTAGTTTTTATTTGAAGATATTTCCTTTCTCACCATAGACCTGAAAGCTGTCCTAATGTTCACTTCCAGATACTACAGAAAGAGTGTTTCAAAACTGCTGTACGAAAGGGAATGTTCAACTCTGTAACTTGAATGCACACATCACAAAGAAGTTTCTGAGGATGCTGCTGTCTACTTTTTATACGTAATCCCGTTTCCAACGAAATCCTCCAAGCTATCCAAATATCCACTTGCAGATTCCACAGAAAGACTGTTTCAAAACTGCTCTGTCAATAGAAAGGTTCAACTCTGTTAGCTGTGTCCATATATCCCAAAGAAGATTCTGAGATTGCTTCTGTCTAGTTTTTATGGGAAGATATTTCCCTTTTCACCGTAGGCGTCAAGGCGCTCCAAATGTCCACTTCCAGATACTACAAAAAGAGTGTTTCAAACCTACTCTGTGAAAGGGAATATTCAACTCAGTGATTTGAATGCAGATATCACAAAGAAGTTTCTGAGAATGCTTCTGTCGAGATTTTATATGAAGATATTCCCGTTTCCAACGAAATCCTGAAATCTATCCAAATATCCCCTCGCAGATTCTACAAAAAGAGTGTTTCAAAACTGCTCTGTGAAAAGGAAGGTTCAACTCTGTTAGTTGAGTACACACATCACAAACAAGTTTCACAGAATGCTTCCTTCTAGCTGGTAGGGGAAGATATTCACTTTATCACCATGGGCCTCAAACCGTCCGAAACGTCCACTTCCATATACTACGAAAAGAGCGTTTCAAACCTGCTCTATGAAAGGCAATGTTCAACTCTGTGACTTGAATGCAGACATCACAGAGCAGTTTCTGAGAATGCTTCTGTCTAGATTTTATAGGAAGATATTCCCGTTTTCAACGAAATCTTCACAGCTATCCAAATATCCACTTGCAGATTCTACAAAAAGAGTGTATCAAAACTGCTCTGTCAAGAGGAAGGTTCTTCTCAGTTAGGTGAGTGCATACGTCATAAAGGAGTTTCTGAGAATGTTTCTGTCTAGTGGTTATGGGAAGATATTTGCTTTTTCACCGTAGGCCTCAGAGCGCTCCAAATATCCACTTGCACATACTACAAAAAGAGAGCTTCAAAGCTGCTCTCTGAAACGGAATGTTCAACTCTATGAGTTGAATGCAAACATCACAAAGACGTTTCTGAGAATGCTTCTGTCTAGATTTGATATGAAGATATTCCCGTTTCCAATGAAATCTTCAAATCTATCCAAATGTCCACTTGCGGATTCAACAAAAAGTGTTTTTCAAAACTGCTGTATCAAAAGAAAGATCCACCTCTGTTAGCTGAGTTCACACATCACAAACAAGTTTATGAGAATGCTTTCTGTCTAGTTTTTATTTGAAGATATTTCCTTTCTCACCATAGAGCTGAAAGCTGTCCTAATGTTCACTTCCAGGTACTACAGAAAGAGTGTTTCAAAACTGCTGTACGAAAAGGAATGTTCAACTCTGTGACTTGAATGCACACATCACAAAGAAGTTTCTGAGGATGCTGCTGTCTACTTTTTATACGTAATCCCGTTTCCAACGAAATCCTCCAAGCTATCCAAATATCCACTTGCAGATTCCACAGAAAGACTGTTTCAAAACTGCTCTGTCAATAGAAAGGTTCAACTCTGTTAGCTGCGTGCATATATCCCAAAGAAGATTCTGAGATTGCTTCTGTCTAGTTTTTATGGGAAGATATTTCCCTTTTCACGGTAGGTGTCAAGGCGCTCCAAATGTCCACTTCCAGATACTACAAAAAGAGTGTTTCAAACCTACTCTGTGAAAGGGAATATTCAACTCTGTGACTTGAATGCACATATCACAAAGAAGTTTTTGAGAATGCTTCTGTCGAGATTTTGTATGAAGATATTCCCGTTTCCAACGAAATCCTGAATTCTATCCAAATTTCCCCTCGCAGATTCTACAAAAAGAGTGTTTCAAAACTGCTCTGTGAAAAGAAAGGTTCAACTCTGTTAGTTGAGTACACACATCACAAACAAGTTTCACAGAATGCTTCCTTCTAGCTTGTAGGGGAAGATATTCCCTTTATCACCATGGGCCTCAAACCGTCCGAAACGTCCACTTCCATATACTACAAAAAGAGCGTTTCAAACCTGTTCTAGGAAAGGCAATGTTCAACTCTGTGACTTGAATGCAGACATCACAGAGCAGTTTCTGAGAATGCTTCTGTCTAGTATTTTATAGGAAGATATTCCCGTTTCCAACGAAATCTTCACAGCTATCCAAATATCCACTTGCAGATTCTACAAAAAGAGTGTATCAAAACTGCTCTGTCAAAAGGAAGGTTCTTTTCTGTTAGGTGAGTGCATACGTCATAAAGGAGTTTCTGAGAATGCTTCTGTCTAGTGGTTATGGGAAGATATTTGCTTTTTCACCGTAGGCCTCAGAGCGCTCCAAATATCCACTTGCACATACTACAAAAAGAGTGCTTCAAAGCTGCTCTCTGAAACGGAATGTTCAACTCTATGAGTTGAATGCAAACATCACAAAGACGTTTCTGAGAATGCTTCTGTCTAGATTTGATATGAAGATATTCCCGTTTCCAACGAAATCTTCAAATCTATCCAAATGTCCACTTCCAGATTCAACAAAGTGTTCTTCAGAACTGCTCTATCAAAAGAAAGATCCACCTCTGTTAGCTGAGATCACACTTCACAAACAAGTTTATCAGAATGCTTCTGTCTAGTTTTTATTTGAAGATATTTCCTTTCTCACCATAGACCTGAAAGCTGTCCTAATGTTCACTTCCAGATACTACAGAAAGAGTGTTTCAAAACTGCTGTACGAAAGGGAATGTTCAACTCTGTGACTTGAATGCACACATCACAAAGAAGTTTCTGAGGATGCGGCTGTCTACTTTTTATACGTAATCCCGTTTCCAACGAAATCCTCCAAGCTATCCAAATATCCACTTGCAGATTCCACAGAAAGACTGTTTCAAAACTGCTCTGTCAATAGAAAGGTTCAACTCTGTTAGCTGCGTACATATATCCCAAAGAAGATTACTGAGATTGCTTCTGTCTAGTTTTTATGGGAAGATATTTCCCTTTTCACCGTAGGCGTCAAGGCGCTCCAAATGTCCACTTCCAGATACTACAAAAAGAGTCTTTCAAACCTACTCTGTGGAAGGGAATATTCAACTCTGTGACTTCAATGCAGATATCACAAAGAAGTTTCTGAGAATGCTTCCGTCGAGATTTTATATGAAGATATTCCCGTTTCCAACGAAATCCTGAAATCTATCCAAATATCCCCTCGCAGATTCCACAAAAAGAGTGTTTCAACACTGCTCTGTAAAAAGAAAGGTTCAACTCTGTTAGTTGAGTACACACATCACAAACAAGTTTCACAGAATGCTTCTTTCTAGCTTGTAGGGGAAGATATTCCCTTTATCACCATGGGCCTCAAACCGTCCGAAACGTCCACTTCCATATACTACAAAAAGAGCGTTTCAAACCTGCTCTATGAAAGGCAATGTTGAACTCTGTGACTTGAATGCAGACATCACAGAGCAGTTTCTGAGAATGCTTCTGTCTAGATTTTATAGGAAGATATTCCCGTTTGCAACGAAATCTTCACAGCTATCCAAATATCCACTTGCAGATTCTACAAAAAGAGTGTATCAAAACTGCTCTGTCAAAAGGAAGGTTCTTCTCTCTTAGTTGAGTACATACGTCATAAAGGAGTTTCTGAGAATGTTTCTGTCTAGCGGTTATGGGAAGATATTTGCTTTTTCACCGTAGGCCTCAGAGCGCTCCAAATATCCACTTGCAGATACTACAAAAAGAGTGCTTCAAAGCTGCTCTCTGAAACGGAATGTTCAACTCTATGAGTTGAATGCAAACATCACAAAGACGTTTCTGAGAATGCTTCTGTCTAGATTTGATATGAAGATATTCCCGTTTCCAACGAAATCTTCAAATCTATCCAAATGTCCACTTGCAGATTCAACAAAACGTGTTTTTCAGAACTGCTCTATCAAAAGAAAGATCCACGTCTCTAAGCTGAGTTCACACATCACAAACAAGTTTATGAGAATGCTTCTGTCTAGTTTTTATTTGAAGATATTTCCTTTCTCACCATAGACCTGAAAGCTGTCCTAATGTTCAGTTCCAGTTACTACAGAAAGAGTGTTTCAAAACTGCTGTACGAAAGGGAATGTTCAACTCTGTGACTTGAATGCACACATCACAAAGAAGTTTCTGAGGATGCTGCTGTCTACTTTTTATACTTAATCCCGTTTCCAACGAAATACTCCAAGCTATCCAAATATCCACTTGCAGATTCCACAGAAAGACTGTTTCAAAACTGCTCTGTCAATAGAAAGGTTCAACTCTGTTAGCTGCGTGCATATATCCCAAAGAAGATTCTGAGATTGCTTCTGTCTAGTTTTGATGGGAAGATATTTCCCTTTTCACCGTAGGCGTCAAGGCGCTCCAAATGTCCATTTCCAGATACTACAAAAAGAGTGTTTCAAACCTACTCTGTGAAAGGGAACATTCAACTCTGTGACTTGAATGCACATATCACAAGGAAGTTTCTGAGAATGCTTCTGTCGAGATTTTATATGAAGATATTTCCGTTTCCAACAAAATCCTGAAATCTCTCCAAATATCCCCTCGCAGATTCTACAAAAAGAGTGTTTCAAAACTGCTCTGTAAAAAGAAAGGTTCAACTCTGTTAGTTGAGTACACACATCACAAACAAGTTTCACAGAATGCTTCTTTCTAGCTTGTAGGGGAAGATATTCCCTTTATCACCATGGGCCTCAAACCGTCCGAAACGTCCACTTCCATATACTACAAAAAGAGCGCTTCAAACCTGCTCTATGAAAGACAATGTTCAACTACTGTGACTTGAATGCAGACATCACAGAGCAGTTTCTGAGAATGCTTCTGTCTAGATTTTATAGGAAGGTATTCCCGTTTCCAACGAATTCTTCACAGCTATCCAAATATCCACTTGCAGATTCTCCAATGGAGTGTATCAAAACTGCTCTCTCAAAAGGAAGGTTCTTCTGTTTTAGTTGAGTACATACGTGATAAAGAAGTTTCTGAGAATGTTTCTGTCTAGGGGTTATGGTAAGATATTTACTTTTTCCCCGTAGGCCTCAAAGCGCTCCAAATGTCCACTTGCACATACTTAAAAAGAGTGCTTCAAAGCTGCTCTCTGAAAGGGAATGTTCAACTCTATGAGTTGAATGCAAACATCACAAAGACGTTTCTGAGAATGCTTCTGTCTAGCTTTGATATGAAGATATTCCCGTTTGCAACGAAATCTTCAAATCTATCAAAATGTCCACTTGCAGATTCAACAAAACGTGTTTTTCAGAACTGCTCTATCAAAGGAAAGATACACCTCTGTTAGCTGAGTTCACACATCACAAACAAGTTTATGAGAATGCTTCTGTCTAGTTTTTATTTGAAGATATTTCCTTTCTCACCATAGACCTGAAAGCTGTCCTAATGTTCACTTCCAGATGCTACAGAAAGAGTGTTTCAAAACTGCTGTACGAAAGGGAATATTCAACTCTGTGACTTGAATGCACACATCACAAAGAAGTTTCTGAGGATGCTGCTGTCTACTTTTTATACTTAATCCCGTTTCCAACGAAATCCTCCAAGCTATCCAAATATCCACTTGCAGATTCCACAGAAAGACTGTTTCAAAACTGCTCTGTCAATAGAAAGGTTCAACTCTGTTAGCTGTGTGCATATATCCCAAAGAAGATTCTGAGATTGCTTCTGTCTAGTTTTTATGGGAAGATATTTCCCTTTTCACCGTAGGTGTCAAGGCGCTCCAAATGTCCACTTCCAGATACTACAAAAAGAGTGTTTCAAACCTACTCTGTGAAAGGGAATATTCAACTCTGTGACTTAAAGGCAGATGTCACAAAGAAGTTTCTGAGAATGCTTCCGTCGAGATTTTATATGAAGATATTCCCGTTTCCAACGAAATCCTGAAATCTATCCAAATATCCCCTCGCAGATTCCACAAAAAGAGTGTTTCAACACTGATCTGTAAAAAGAAAGGTTCAACTCTGTTAGTTGAGTACACACATCACAAACAAGTTTCACAGAATGCTTCTTTCTAGCTTGTAGGGGAAGATATTTCCTTTATCACCATGGTCCTCAAACCGTCCGAAACGTCCACTTCCATATACTAAAAAAAGAGTGTTTCAAACCTGCTCTATGAAAGGCAATGTTCAACTCTGTGACTTGAATGCAGACATCACAGAGCAGTTTCTGAGAATGCTTCTGTCCAGACTTTATAGGAAGATATTCCCGTTTCCAACGAAATCTTCACAGCTATCCAAATATCCACTTGCAGATAGTACAAAAAGAGTGTATCAAAAATGCTCGGTCAAAAGGAAAGTTCTTCTCTGCTACTTGAGTACATACGTCATAAAGAAGTTTCTGAGAATGTTTCTGTCTAGTGGTTATGGGAAGATATTTGCTTTTTCACCGTAGGCCTCAGAGCGCTCCAAATATCCACTTGCACATACTACAAAAAGAGTGCTTCAAAGCTGGTCTCTGAAAGGGAATGTTCAACTCTATGAGTTGAATGCAAACATCGCAAAGACGTTTCTGAGAATGCTTCTGTCTAGATTTGATATGAAGATATTCCCGTTTCCAACGAAATCTTCAAATCTATCCAAATGTCCACTTGCAGATTCAACAAAGCGTTTTTCAGAACTGCTCTATCAAAAGAAAGATCCACCTCTGTTAGCTGAGATCACACTTCACAAACAAGTTTATCAGAATGCTTCTGTCTAGTTTTTATTTGAAGATATATCCTTTCTCACTATAGACCTGAAAGCTCTCCTAAAGTTCACTTCCAGATACTACAGAAAGAGTGTTTCAAAACTGCTGTTCGAAAGGGAATGTTCAACTTCTGTGACTTGAATGCACACATCACAAGGATGTTTCTGAGGATGCTGCTGTCTACTTTTTATACGTAATCCCGTTTCCAAAGAAATCCTCCAAGCTATCCAAATATCCACTTGCAGATTCCACAGAAAGACTGTTTCAAAACTGCTCTGTCAATAGAAAGGTTCAACTCTGTTAGCTGCGTGCATATATCCCAAAGAAGATTCTGATATTGCTTCTGTCTAGTTTTCATGGGAAGATATTTCCCTTTTCACCATAGGCGTCAAGGCGCTCCAAATGTCCACTTCCAGATACTACAAAAAGAGTGTTTCAAACCTACTCTGTGAAAGGGAATATTCAACTCTGTGACTTGAATGCACATATCACAAAGAAGTTTCTGAGAATGCTTCTGTCGAGATTTTATATGAAGATATTCCCGTTTCCAACGAAATCCTGAAATCTATCCAAATATCCCCTCGCAGATTCTACAGAAAGAGTGTTTCAAAACTGCTCTGTAAAAAGAAAGGTTCAACTCTGTTAGTTGAGTACACATATCACAAACAAGTTTCACAGAATGCTTCTTTCTAGCTTGTAGGGGAAGATATTCCCTTTATCACCATGGGCCTCAAACCTTCCGAAACGTCAACTTCCATATACTACAAAAAGAGCGTTTCAAACCTGCTCTAGGAAAGGCAATGTTCAACTCTGTGACTTGAATGCAGACATCACAGAGCAGTTTCTGAGAATGCTTCTGTCTAGATTTTATAGGAAGATATTCCCGTTTCCAACGAAATCTTCACAGCTATCCAAATATCCACTTGCAGATTCTACAAAAAGAGTGTATCAAAACTGCTCTGTCAAAAGGAAGGTTCTTTTCTGTTAGGTGAGTGCATACGTCATAAAGGAGTTTCTGAGAATGTTTCTGTCTAGTGGTTATGGGAAGATATTTGATTTTTCACCGTAGGCCTCAGAGCGCTCCAAATATCCACTTGCACATACTACAAAAAGAGTGCTTCAAAGCTGCTCTCTGAAAGGGAATGTTGAACTCTATGAGTTGAATGCAAACATCACAAAGACGTTTCTGAGAATTCTTCTGTCTAGATTTGATATGAAGATATTCCCGTTTCCAAGGAAATCTTCAAATCTATCCAAATGTCCACTTGCAGATTCAACAAAAAGTGTTTTTCAGAACTGCTCTATCAAAAGAAAGATCCACCTCTGTTAGCTGAGTTCACACATCACAAACAAGTTTATGAGAATGCTTCTGTCTAGTTTTTATTTGAAAATATTTCCTTTCTCACCATAGAGCTGAAAGCTGTCCTAATGTTCACTTCCAGATACTACAGAAAGAGTGTTTCAAAACTGCTGTACGAAAGGGAATGTTCAACTCTGTGACTTGAATGCACACATCACAAAGAAGTTTCTGAGGATGCTGCTGTCTACTTTTTATACGTAATCCCGTTTCCAACGAAATCCTCCAAGCTATCCAAATATCCACTTGCAGATTCCACAGAAAGACTGTTTCAAAGCTGCTCTGTCAATAGAAAGGTTCAACTCTGTTAGCTGCGTGCATATATCCCAAAGAAGATTCTGAGATTGCTTCTGTCTAGTTTTTATGGGAAGATATTTCCCTTTTCACCGTAGGCGTCAAGGCGCTCCAAATGTCCACTTCCAGATACTACAAAAAGAGTGTTTCAAACGTACTCTGTGAAAGGGAATATTCAACTCTGTGACTTGAATGCACATATCACAAAGAAGTTTCTGAGAATGCTTCTGTCGAGATTTTATATGAAGATATTCCCGTTTCCAACGAAATCCTGAAATCTATCCAAATATCCCCTCGCAGATTCTACAAAAAGAGTGTTTCAAAACTGCTCTGTAAAAAGAAAGGTTCAACTCTGTTACTTGAGTACACACTTCACAAACAAGTTTCACAGAATGCTTCTTTCTAGCTTGTAGGGGAAGATATTTCCTTTATCACCATGGGCCTCAAACCGTCCGAAACGTCCACTTCCATATACTAAAAAAAGAGTGTTTCAAACCTGCTCTATGAAAGGCAATGTTCAACTCTGTGACTTGAATGCAGACATCACAGAGCAGTTTCTGAGAATGCTTCTGTCTAGATTTTATAGGAAGATATTCCCGTTTCCAACGAAATCTTCACAGCTATCCAAATATCCACTTGCAGATTCTACAAAAAGAGTTTATCAAAACTGCTCTGTCAAAAGGAAGGTTCTTCTCTGTTACTTGAGTACATACGTCATAAAGGAATTTCTGAGAATGTTTCTGTCTAGTGGTTATGGGAAGATATTTGCTTTTTCACCGTAGGCTTCACAGCGCTCCAAATATCCACTTGCACATACTACAAAAAGAGTGCTTCAAAGCTGCTCTCTGAAACGGAATGTTCAACTCTATGAGTTGAATGCAAACATCACAAAGACGTTTCTGAGAATGCTTCTGTCTAGATTTGATATGAAGATATTCCCGTTTCCAACGAAATCTTCAAATCTATCCAAATGTCCACTTGCAGATTCAACAAAAAGGGTTTTTCAAAACTGCTCTATCAAAAGAAAGATCCACGTCTGTTAGCTGAGTTCACACATCACAAACAAGTTTATGAGAATGCTTCTGTCTAGTTTTTATTTGAAGATATTTCCTTTTTCACCACAGAGCTGAAAGCTGTCCTAATGTTCACTTCCAGATACTACAGAAAGAGTGTTTCAAAACTGCTGTACGAAAGGGAATGTTCAACTCTGTGACTTGAATGCACACATCACAAAGAAGTTTCTGAGGATGCTGCTGTCTACTTTTTATACGTAATCCCGTTTCCAACGAAATCCTCCAAGCTATCCAAATATCCACTTGCAGATTCCACAGAAAGACTGTTTCAAAACTGCTCTGTCAATAGAAATGTTCAACTCTGTTAGCTGCGTGCATATATCCCAAAGAAGATTCTGAGATTGCTTCTGTCTAGCTTTTATGGGAAGATATTTCCCTTTTCACCGTAGGTGTCAAGGCGCTCCAAATGTCCACTTCCAGATACTACAAAAAGAGTGTTTCAAACCTACTCTGTGAAAGGGAATATTCAACTCTGTGACTTGAATGCAGATATCACAATGAAGTTTCTGAGAATGCTTCTGCCGAGATTTTCAAAGAAGATATTCCCGTTTCCAAGGAAATCCTGATATCTATCCAAATATCCCCACGCAGATTCTACAAAAAGAGTGTTTCAAAACTGCTCTGTAAAAAGAAAGGTTCAACTCTGTTAGTTGAGTACACACATCACAAACAAGTTTCACAGAATGCTTCTTTCTAGCTGGTAGGGGAAGATATTCCCTTTATCACCATGGGCCTCAAACCGTCCGAAACGTCCACTTCCATATACTACAAAAAAGAGCGTTTCAAACCTGCTCTATGAAAGGCAATGTTCAACTCTGTGACTTGAATGCACACATCACAGAGCAGTTTCTGAGAATGCTTCTGTCTAGATTTTATAGGAAGATATTCCCGTTTCCAACGAAATCTTCACAGCTATCCAAATATCCACTTGCAGATTCTACAAAAAGAGTGTATCAAAACTGCTCTGTCAAAAGGAAGGTTCTTCTTCTGTTAGTTGAGTACATACGTCATAAAGGAGTTTCTGAGAATGTTTCTGTCTAGTGGTTAAGGGAAGATATTTGCTTTTTCACCGTAGGCCTCAGAGCGCTCCAAATATCCACTTGCACATACTACAAAAAGAGTGCTTCAAAGCTGCTCTCTGAAACGGAATGTTCAACTCTATGAGTTGAATGCAAACATCACAAAGACGTTTCTGAGACTGCTTCTGTCTAGATTTGATATGAAGATATTCCCGTTTACAACGAAATCTTCAAATCTATCCAAATGTCCACTTGCAGATTCAACAAAGTGTTTTTCAGAACTGCTCTATCAAAAGAAAGATCCACCTCTGTTAGCTGAGATCACACTTCACAAACAAGTTTATCAGAATGCTTCTGTCTAGTTTTTATTTGAAGATATAACCTTTCTCACTATAGACCTGAAAGCTGTCCTAAAGTTCACTTCCAGATACTACAGAAAGAGTGTTTCAAAACTGCTGTACGAAAGGGAATGTTCAACTCTGTGACTTGAATGCACACATCACAAGGATGTTTCTGAGGATGCTGCTGTCTAATTTTTATACGTAATCCCGTTTCCAACGAAATCCTCCAAGCTATCCAAATATCCACTTGCAGATTCCACAGAAAGACTGTTTCAAAACTGCTCTGTCAATAGAAAGGTTCAACTTTGTGAGCTGCGTGCATATATCCCAAAGAAGATTCTGAGATTGCTTCTGTCTAGTTTTTATGGGAAGATATTTCCCTTTTCACCGTAGGTGTCAAGGCGCTCCAAATGTCCACTTCCAGATACTACAAAAAGAGTGTTTCAAACCTACTCTGTGAAAGGGAATATTCAACTCTGTGACTTGAATGCACATATCACAAAGAAGTTTCTGAGAATGCTTCTGTCGAGATTTTATATGAAGATATTCCCGTTTCCAACGAAATCCTGAAATCTATCCAAATATCCCCTCGCAGATTCTACAAAAAGAATGTTTCAAAACTGCTCTGTAAAAAGAAAGGTTCAACTCTGTTAGTTGAGTACACACATCACAAACAAGTTTCACAGAATGCTTCTTTCTAGCTTGTAGGGGAAGATATTCCCTTTATCACCATGGGCCTCCAACCGTCCGATAAGTCCACTTCCATATACTACAAAAAGAGCGTTTCAAACCTGCTCTATGAAAGGCAATGTTCAACTCTGTGACTTGAATGCAGACATCACAGAGCAGTTTCTGAGAATGCTTTTGTCTAGGTTTTATAGGAAGATATTCCCTTTTCCAACGAAATCTTCCAAGCTATCCAAATATCCACTTGCAGATTCTACAAAAAGAGTGTATCAAAACTGCTCTGTCAAAAGGAAGGTTCTCCTCTGTTAGTTGAGTACATACGTCATAAAGGAGTTTCTGAGAATGTTTCTGTCTAGTGGTTATGGGAAGATATTTGCTTTTTCACCCGTAGGTCTCAGAGCGCTCCAAATATCCACTTGCACATACTACAAAAAGAGTGCTTCAAAGCTGCTCTCTGAAACGGAATGTTCAACTCTATGACTTGAATGCAAACATCACAAAGACGTTTCTGAGAATGCTTCTGTCTAGATTTGATATGAAGATATTCCCGTTTCCAACGAAATCTTCAAATCTATCCAAATGTCCACTTGCAGATTCAACAAAAAGTGTTTTTCAGAACTGCTCTATCAAAAGAAAGATTCACCTCTGTTAGCTGAGTTCACACATCACAAACAAGTTTATGAGAATGCTTCTGTCTAGTTTTTATTTGAAGATATTTCCTTTCTCACCATAGAGCTGAAAGCTGTCCTAATGTTCACTTCCAGATACGACAGAAAGAGTGTTTCAAAACTGCTGTACGAAAGGGAATGTTCAAATCTGTGACTTGAATGCACACATCACAAAGAAGTTTCTGAGGATGCTGCTGTCTACTTTTTATACGTAATCCCGTTTCCAACGAAATCCTCCAAGCTATCCAAATATCCACTTGCAGATTCCACAGAAAGACTGTTTCAAAACTGCTCTGTCAATAGAAAGGTTCAACTCTGTTAGCTGCGTGCATATATCCCAAAGAAGATTCTGAGATTCCTTCTGTCTAGTTTTTATGGGAAGATATTTTCCTTTTCACCGTAGGCGTCACGGCGCTCCAAATGTCCACTTCCAGATACTACAAAAAGAGTGTTTCAAACCTACTCTGTGAAAGGGAATATTCAACTCTGTGACTTGAATGCAGATATCACAAAGAAGTTTCTGAGAATGCTTCTGTCGAGATTTTATATTAAGATATTCCCGTTTCCAACGAAATCCTGAAATCTATCCAAATATCCCCTCGCAGATTCTACAAAAAGAGTGTTTCAAAACTGCTCTGTAAAAAGAAAGGTTCAACTCTGTTAGTTGAGTACACACATCACAAACAAGTTTCACAGAATGCTTCTTTCTAGCTTGTAGGGGAAGATATTCCCTTTATCACCATGGGCCTCAAACCGTCCGAAACGTCCACTTCCATATACTACAAAAAGAGCGTTTCAAATTTGCTCTAGGAAAGGCAATGTTCAACTCTGTGACTTGAATGCAGACATCACAGAGCAGTTCCTGAGAATGTTATTGTCTAGATTTTATAGGAAGATATTCCCGTTTCCAACGAAATCTTCACAGCTATCCAAATATCCACTTGCAGATTCTACAAAAAGAGTGTATCAAAACTGCTCTGTCAAAAGGAAGGTTCTTCTCTGTTAGGTGAGTGCATACGTCATAAAGGAGTTTCTGAGAATGTTTCTGTCTAGTGGTTATGGGAAGATATTTGCTTTTTCACCGTAGGCCTCAGAGCGCTCCAAATATCCACTTGCACATACTACAAAAAGAGTGCTTCAAAGCTGCTCTCTGAAACGGAATGTTCAACTCTCTGAGTTGAATGCAAACATCACAAAGACGTTTCCGAGAATGCTTCTGTCTAGATTTGATATGAAGATATTCCCGTTTCCAACGACATCTTCAAATCTATCCAAATGTCCCCTTGCAGATTCAACAAAACGTGTTTTTCAGAACTGCTCTATCAAAAGAAAGATCCACCTCTGTTAGCTGAGTTCACACATCACAAACAAGTTTATGAGAATGCTTCTGTCTAGTTTTTATTTGAAGATATCTCCTTTCTCACCATAGACCTGAAAGCTGTCCTAATGTACACTTCCAGATACTACAGAAAGAGTGTTTCAAAACTGCTGTACGAAAGGGAATGTTCAACTCTGTGACTTGAATGCACACATCACAAAGAAGTTTCTGAGGATGCTGTGGTCTACTTTATATACGTAATCCCGTTTCCAACGAAATCCTCCAAGCTATCCAAATATCCACTTGCAGATTCCACAGAAAGACTGTTTCAAAACTGCTCTGTCAATAGAAAGGTTCAACTCTGTTAGCTGCGTGCATATATCCCAAAGAAGATTGCTGAGATTGCTTCTGTCTAGTTTTTATGGGAAGATATTTCCCTTTTCACCGTGGGCGTCAAGGCGCTCCAAATGTGCACTTCCAGATACTACAAAAAGAGTGTTTCAAACCTACTCTGTGAAAGGGAATATTCAACTCTGTGACTTGAATGCACATATCACAAGGAAGTTTCTGAGAATGCTTCTGTCGAGATTTTATATGAAGATATTCCCGTTTCCAACGAAATGCTGAAATGTATCCAAATATCCCCTCGCAGATTCTACAAAAAGAGTGTTTCAAAACTGCTCTGTAAAAAGAAAGGTTCAACTCTGTTAGTTGAGTACACACATCACAAACAAGTTTCACAGAATGCTTCTTTCTAGCTTGTAGGGGAAGATATTCCCTTTATCACCATGGGCCTCCAACCGTCCGAAACATCCACTTACATATACTACAAAAAGAGCGTTTCAAACCTGCTCTATGAAAGGCAATGTTCAACTCTGTGACTTGAATGCAGACATCACAGAGCAGTTTCTGAGAATGCTTCTGTCTGGCATTTTATAGGAAGATATTCCCGTTTCCAACGAAATCTTCACAGCTATCCAAATATCCACTTGCAGATTCTACAAAAAGAGTGTATCAAAACTGCTCTGTCAAAAGGAAGGTTCTTCTCTGTTAGTTGAGTACATACGTCATAAAGGAGTTTCTGAGAATGTTTCTGTCTAGTGGTTATGGGAAGATATTTGCTTTTTCACCTTAGGCCTCAAAGCGCTCAAAATATCCCCTTGCACATACTACAAAAAGAGTGCTTCAAAGCTGCTCTCTGAAACGGAATGTTCAACTCTATGGGTTGAATGCAAACATCACAAAGACCTTTCTGAGAATGCTTCTGTCTAGATTTGATATGAAGATATTCCCGTTTCGAACGAAATCTTCAAATCTATCCAAATGTCCACTTGCAGATTCAACAAAAAGTGTTTTTCAGAACTGCTCTATCAAAAGAAAGATCCACCTCTGTTTGCTGAGTTCACACATCACAAACAAGTTTATGAGAATGCTTCTGTCTAGTTTTTATTTGAAGATATTTCCTTTCTCATCATAGACCTGAAAGCTGTCCTATTGTTCACTTCAGATACTACAGAAAGAGTGTTTCAAAACTGCTGTACGAAAGGGAATGTTCAACTCTGTGACTTGAATGCACACATCACAAAGAAGTTTCTGAGGATGCTGCTGTCTACTTTTTATACGTAATCCCGTTTCCAACGAAATCCTCCAAGCTATCCAAATATCCACTTGCAGATTCCACAGAAAGACTGTTTCAAAACTGCTGTGTCAATAGAAAGGTTCAACTCTGTTAGCTGCGTGCATATATCCCAAAGAAGATTCTGAGATTGCTTCTGTCTAGTTTTTATGGGAAGATATTTCCCTTTTCACCGTAGGCGTCAAGGCGCTCCAAATGTCCACTTCCAGATACTACAAAAAGAGTGTTTCAAACCTACTCTGTGAAAGGGAATATTCAAGTCTGTGACTTGAATGCACATATCACAAGGAAGTTTCTGAGAATGTTTCTGTCGAGATTTTATATGAAGATATTCCCGTTTCCAACGAAATTCTGAAATGTATCCAAATATCCCCTCGCAGATTCTACAAAAAGAGTGTTTCAAAACTGCTCTGTAAAAAGAAAGGTTCAACTCTGTTAGTTGAGTACACACATCACAAACAAGTTTCACAGAATGCTTCTTTCTAGCTTGTAGGGGAAGATATTCCCTTTATCACCATGGGCCTCAAAGCGTCCGAAACGTCCACTTCCATATACTACAAAAAGAGCGTTTCAAACCTGCTCTAGGAAAGGCAATGTTCAACTCTGTGACTTGAATGCAGACATCACAGAGCAGTTTCTGAGAATGCTTCTGTCTAGATTTTATAGGAAGATATTCCCGTTTCCAACGAAATCTTCACAGCTATCCAAATATGCACTTGCAGATTCTACAAAAAGAGTGTATCAAAACTGCTCTGTCAAAAGGAAGGTTCTTCTCTGTTAGTTGAGTACATACGTCATAAAGCAGTTTCTGAGAATGTTTCTGTCTAGTGGTTATGGGAAGATATTTGCTTTTTCCCCGTAGGCCTCAGAGCGCTCCAAATATCCACTTGCACATACTACAAAAAGAGTGCTTCAAAGCTGCTCTCTGAAACGGAATGTTCAACTCTATGAGTTGAATGCAAACATCACAAAGACGTTTCTGAGAATGCTTCTGTCTAGATTTGATATGAAGATATTCCCGTTTCCAAGGAAATCTTCAAATCTATCCAAATGTCCACTTGCAGATTCTACAAAAATTGTTTTTCAGAACTGCTCTATCAAAAGAAAGATCCACGTGTGTTAGCTGAGTTCACACATCACAAACAAGTTTATGAGAATGCTTCTGTCTCGTTTTTATTTGAAGATATTTCCTTTCTCACCATAGACCTGAAAGCTGTCATAATGTTCACTTCCAGATACTACAGAAAGAGTGTTTCAAAACTGCTGTACGAAAAGGAATGTTCAACTCTGTGACTTGAATGCACACATCACAAAGAAGTTTCTGAGGATGCTGCTGTCTACTTTGTATACATAATCCCGTTTCCAAAGAAATCCTCCAAGCTATCAAAATATCCACTTGCAGATTCCACTAAAAGACTGTTTCAAAACTGCTCTGTCAATAGAAAGTTTCAACTCTGTTAGCTGGGTGCATACATCCCAAAGAAGATTCTGAGATTGCTTCTGTCTAGTATTTATGGGAAGATATTTCATATTTCCTTTTTCACCGTAGGCGTCAAGGCGCTCCAAATGTCCACTTCCAAATACTACAAAAAGAGTGTTTCAAACCTACTCTGTGAAAGGGAATATTCAACTCTGTGACTTGAGTGCAGGTATCACAAAGAGGTTTCTCAGAATGCTTCTGTCGAGATTTTATATGAAGATATTCCCCTTTCCAACGAAATCCTGAAATCTATCCAAATATCCCCTCGCAGATTCTACAAAAAGAGTGTTTCAAAACTGCTCTGTAAAAAGAAAAGTTCAACTCTGTTAGTTGAGTACACACCTCACAATACAAGTTTCACAGAATGCTTCTTTCTAGCTTGCAGGGGAAGATATTCCCTTTATCACCATGGGCCTCAAACCGTCCGAAAAGTCCACTTCCATATACTACAAAAAGAGCGTTTCAAACCTGCTCTATGAAAGGCAATGTTCAACTCTGTGACTTGAATGCAGACATCACAGAGCAGTTTCTGAGAATGCTTCTGTCTAGATTTTATAGGAAGATATTCCCGTTTCCAACGAAATCTTCACAGCTATCCAAATATCCACTTGCAGATGCTACAAAAAGAGTGTATCAAAACTGCTCTGTCAAAAGCAAGGTTCTTCTCTGTTAGGTGAGTGCATACGTCATAAAGGAGTTTCTGAGAATGTTTCTGTCTAGTGGTTATGGGAAGATATTTGCTTTTTCCCCGTAGGCCTCAGGGCGCTCCAAATGTCCACTTGCACATGCTACAAAAAGAGTGCTTCAAAGCTGCTCTCTGAAAGGGAATGTTCAACTCTATGAGTTGAATGCAAACATCACAAAGACGTTTCTGAGAATGCTTCTGTCTAGATTTGATATGAAGATATTCCCGTTTCCAACGAAATCTTCAAATCTATCCAAATCTCCACTTGCAGATTCAACAAAAAGTGTTTTTCAGAACTGCTCTATCAAAAGAAAGATCCACCTCTGTTAGCTGAGTTCACACATCACAAACAAGTTTATGAGAATGCTTCTGTCTAGTTTTTATTTGAAGATATTGCCTTTCTCACCATAGACCTGAAAGCTGTACTAATGTTCACTTCCAGATACTACAGAAAGAGTGTTTCAAAACTGCTGTACGAAAGGGAATGTTCAACTCTGTGACTTGAATGCACACATCACAAAGAAGTTTCTGAGGAGGCTGCTGTCTACTTTTTATACGTAATCCCGTTTCCAACGAAATCCTCCAAGCTATCCAAATATCCACTTGCAGATTCCACAGAAAGACTGTTTCAAAACTGCTCTGTTAATAGAAAGGTTCAACTCTGTTAGCTGCGTGCATATATCCCAAAGAAGATTCTGAGATTGCTTCTGTCTAGTTTTTATGGGAAGATATTTCCCTTTTCACCGTAGGCGTCAAGGCGCTCCAAATGTCCACTTCCAGATACTACAAAAAGAGTGTTTCAAACCTACTCTGTGAAAGGGAATATTCAACTCTGTGACTTGAATGCACATGTCACAAAGAAGTTTCTGAGAATGCTTCTGTCGAGATTTTATAGGAAGATATTCCCGTTTCCAACGAAATCCTGAAATCTATCAAAATATCCCCTCGCAGATTCTACAAAAAGAGTGTTTCAAAACTGCTCTGTAAAAAGAAAGGTTCAACTCTGTTAGTTGAGTACACACATCACAAACAAGTTTCACAGAATGCTTCTTTCTAGCTTGTAGGGGAAGATATTCCCTTTATCACCATGGGCCTCAAACCGTCCGAATCGTCCACTTCCATATACTACAAAAAGAGCGTTTCAAACCTGCTCTAGGAAAGGCAATGTTCAACTCTGTGACTTGAATGCAGACATCACAGAGCAGTTTCTGAGAATGCTTCTGTCTAGATTTTATAGGAAGATATTCCCGTTTCCAACGAAATCTTCACAGCTACCCAAATATCCACTTGCAGATTCTACAAAAAGAGTGTATCAAAACTGCTCTGTCAAAAGGAAGGTTCTTTTCTGTTAGTTGAGTGCATACGTCATAAAGGAGTTTCTGAGAATGTTTCTGTCTAGTGGTTATGGGAAGATATTTGCATTTTCACCGTAGGCCTCAGAGCGCTCCAAATATCCACTTGCACATACTACAAAAAGAGTGCCTCAAAGCTGCTCTCTGAAAGGGAATGTTCAACTCTATGAGTTGAATGCAAACATCACAAAGACGTTTCTGAGAATGCTTCTGTCTAGATTTGATATGAAGATGTTCCCGTTTCCAACGAAATCTTCAAATCTATCCAAATGTCCACTTGCAGATTCAACAAAAAGTGTTTTTCAGAACTGCTCTATCAAAAGAAAGATCCACCTCTGTTAGCTGAGTTCACACATCACAAACAAGTTTATGAGAATGCTTCTGTCTAGTTTTTATTTGAAGATATTTCGTTTCTCACCATAGAGCTGAAAGCTGTCCTAATGTTCACTTCCAGATACTACAGAGTGTTTCAAAACTGCTGTACGAAAGGGAATGTTCAACTCTGTGAATTGAATGCACACATCACAAGGAAGTTTCTGAGGATGCTGCTGTGTACTTTTTATACGTAATCCCGTTTCCAACGAAATCCTCCAATCTATCCAAATATCCACTTGCAGATTCCACAGAAAGACTGTTTCAAATCTGCTCAGTCAATAGAAAGGTTCAACTCTGTTAGCTGCGTGCATATATCACAAAGAAGATTGCTGAGATTGCTTCTGTCTAGTTTTGATGGGAAGATATTTCCCTTTTCACCGTAGGCGTCAAGGCGCTCCAAATGTCCACTTCCAGATACTACAAAAAGAGTGTTTCAAACCTACTCTGTGAAAGGGAATATTCAACTCTGTGACTTGAATGCACATATCACAAAGAAGTTTCTGAGAATGCTTCTGTCGAGATTTTATATGAAGATATTCCCGTTTCCAACGAAATTCTGAAATCTATCCAAATATCCCCTCGCAGATTCTACAAAAAGAGTGTTTCAAAACTGCTCTGTAAAAAGAAAAGTTCAACTCTGTTAGTTGAGTACACACATCACAAACAAGTTTCACAGAATGCTTCTTTCTAGCTTGTAGGGGAAGATATTCCCTTTATCACCATGGGCCTCAAACTGTCTGAAACGTCCACTTCCATATACTACAAAAAGAGCATTTCAAACCTGCTCTATGAAAGGCAATGTTCAACTCTGTGACTTGAATGCAGACATCACAGAGCAGTTTCTGAGAATGCTTCTGTCTAGATTTTATAGGAAGATATTCCCGTTTCCAACGAAATCTTCACAGCTATACAAATATCCACTTGCAGATTCTACAAAAAGAGTGTATCAAAACTGCTCTGTCAAAAGGAAGGTTCTTCTCTGTTAGTTGAGTACATACGTCATAAAGGAGTTTCTGAGAATGTTTCTGTCTAGTGGTTATGGGAAGATATTTGCTTTTTCACCGTAGGCCTCAGAGCGCTCCAAATATCCACTTGCACATACTACAAAAAGAGTGCTTCAAAGCTGCTCTCTGAAAGGGAATGTTCCACTCTATGAGTTGAATGCAAACATCACAAAGACGTTTCTGAGAATGCTTCTGTCTAGATTTGATATTGAAGATATTCCCGTTTCCAACGAAATCTTCAAATCTATCCAAATGTCCACTTGCAGATTCAACAAAAAGTGTTTTTCAGAACTGCTCTATCAAAAGAAAGATCCACCTCTGTTAGCTGAGTTCACACATCACAAACAAGTTTATGAGAATGCTTCTGTCTAGTTTTTATTTGAAGATATTTCCTTTCTCACCATAGAGCTGAAAGCTGTCCTAATGTTCACTTCCAGATACTACAGAAAGAGTGTTTCAAAACTGCTGTACGAAAGGGAATGTTCAACTCTGTGACTTGAATGCACACATCACAAAGAAGTTTCTGAGGATGTTGCTGTCTACTTTTTATACGTAATCCCGTTTCCAACGAAATCCTCCAAGGTATCCAAATATCCACTTGCAGATTCCACAGAAAGACTGTTTCAAAACTGCTCTGTCAATGGAAAGGTTCAACTCTGTTAGCTGCGTGCATATATCCCAAAGAAGATTCTGAGATTGCTTCTGTCTAGTTTTTATGGGAAGATATTTCCCTTTTCACCGTAGGCGTCAAGGCGCTCCAAATGTCCACTTCCAGATACTACAAAAGGAGTGTTTCAAACCTACTCTGTGAAAGTGAATATTCAACTCTGTGACTTGAATGCACATATCACAAAGAAGTTTCTGAGAATGCTTCTGTCGAGATTTTCTATAAAGATATTCCCGTTTCCAACGAAATCCTGAAATCTATCCAAATATCCCCTCGCAGATTCTACAAAAAGAGTGTTTCAAAACTGCTCTGTAAAAAGAAAGGTTCAACTCTGTTACTTCAGTACACACATCACAAACAAGTTTCACAGAATGCTTCTTTCTAGCTTGTAGGGGAAGATATTCCCTTTATCACCATGGGCCTCAAACCGTCCGAAACGTCCACTTCCATATACTACAAAAAGAGCGTTTCAAACCTGCTCTAGGAAAGGCAATGTTCAACTGCTGTGACTTGAATGCAGACATCACAGAGCAGTTTCTGAGAATGCTTCTGTCTAGATTTTGTAGGAAGATATTCCCGTTTCCAACGAAATCTTCACAGCTATCCAAATATCCACTTGCAGATTCCACAAAAAGAGTGTATCAAAACTGCTCTGTCAAAAGGAAGGTTCTTTTCTGTTAGGTGAGTGCATACGTCATAAAGGAGTTTCTGAGAATGTTTCTGTCTAGTGGTTATGGGAAGATATTTGATTTTTCACCTTAGGCCTCAGAGCGCTCCAAATATCCCCTTGCACATACTACAAAAAGAGTGCTTCAAAGCTGCTCTCTGAAAGGGAATGTTCAACTCTATGGGTTGAATGCAAACATCACAAAGACATTTCTGAGAATGCTTCTGTCTAGATTTGAAATGAAGTTATTCCCGTTTCCAACGAAATCTTCAAATCTATCCAAATGTCCACTTGCAGATTCAACAAAAAGTGTTTTTCAGAACTGCTCTATCAAAAGAAAGATCCACGTCTCTTAGCTGAGTTCACACATCACAAAGAAGTTTATGAGAATGCTTCTGTCTAGTTTTTATTTGAAGATATTTCCTTTCTCACCATAGACCTGAAAGCTGTCCTAATGTTCACTTCCAGATACTACAGAAAGAGTGTTTCAACACTGCTGTACGAAAGGGAATGTTCAACTCTGTGACTTGAATGCACACATCACAAAGAAGATTCTGAGGATGCTGCTGTCTACTTTTTATACTTAATCCCGTTTCCAACGAAATCCTCCAAGCTATCCAAATATCCACTTGCAGATTCCACAGAAAGACTGTTTCAAAACTGCTCTGTCAATAGAAAGGTTCAACTCTGTTAGCTGCGTGCATATATCCCAAAGAAGATTCTGAGATTACTTCTGTCTAGTTTTTATGGGAAGATATTTCCCTTTTCACCGTAGGCGTCAAGGCGCTCCAAATGTCCACTTCCAGATACTACAAAAAGAGTGTTTCAAACCTACTCTGTGAAAGGGAATATTCAACTCTGTGACTTGAATGCACATATTACAAAGAAGTTTCTGAGAATGCTTCTGTCGAGATTTTATATGAAGATATTCCCGTTTCCAACGAAATCCTGAAATCTATCCAAATATCCCCTCGCAGATTCTACAAAAAGAGTGTTTCAAAACTGCTCTGTAAAAAGAAAGGTTCAACTCTCTTAGTTGAGTACACACATCACAAACAAGTTTCACACAATGCTTCTTTCTAGCTTGTAGGGGAAGATATTCCCTTTATCACCATGGGCCTCAAACCGTCCGAAAAGTCCACTTCCATATACTACAAAAAGAGCGTTTCAAACCTGCTCTATGAAAGGCAATGTTCAACTCTGTGACTTGAATGCAGACATCACAGAGCAGTTTCTGAGAATGCTTCTGTCTAGATTTTATAGGAAGATATTCCAGTTTCCAACGAAATCTTCACAGCTATCCAAATATCCACTTGCAGATTCTACAAAAAGAGTGTATCAAAACTGCTCTGTCAAAAGGAAGGTTCTTCTCTGTTAGGTGAGTGCATACGTCATAAAGGAGTTTCTGAGAATGTTTCTGTCTAGTGGTTATGGGAAGATATTTGCTTTTTCCCCGTATGCCTCAGGGCCCTCCAAATGTCCACTTGCACATGCTACAAAAAGAGTGCTTCAAAGCTGCTCTCTGAAAGGGAATGTTCAACTCTATGAGTTGAATGCAAACATCACAAAGACGTTTCTGAGAATGCTTCTGTCTAGATTTGATATGAAGATATTCCCGTTTCCAACGAAATCTTCAAATCTATCCAAATGTCCACTTGCAGATTCAACAAAAAATGTTTTTCAGAACTGCTCTATCAAAAGAAAGATCCACCTCTGTTAGCTGAGTTCACACATCACAAACAAGTTAATGAGAATGCTTCTGTCTAGTTTTTATTTGAAGATATATCCTTTCTCACTATAGACCTGAAAGCTCTCCTAAAGTTCACTTCCAGATACTACAGAAAGAGTGTTTCAAAACTGCTGTACGAACGGGAATGTTCAACTCTGTGACTGGAATGCACACATCACAAGGATGTTTCTGAGGATGCTGCTGTCTACTTTTTATACGTAATCCCGTTTCCAACGAAATCCTCCAAGCTATCCAAATATCCACTTGCAGATTCCACAGAAAGACTGTTTCAAAACTGCTCTGTCAATAGAAAGGTTCAACTCTATTAGCTGCGTACATATATCCCAAAGAAGATTCTGAGATTGCTTCTGTCTAGTTTTTATGGGAAGATATTTCCCTTTTCACCGTAGGTGTCAAGGCGCTCCAAATGTCCACTTCCAGATACTACAAAAAGAGTGTTTCAAACCTACTCGGTGAAAGGGAATATTCAACTCTGTGACTTGAATGCACATATCACAAAGAAGTTTCTGAGAATGCTTCTGTCGAGAATTTTATATTAAGATATTCCCGTTTCCAACAAAATCCTGAAATCTATCCAAATATCCCCTCGCAGATTCTACAAGAAGAGTGTTTCAAAACTGCTCTGTAAAAAGAAAGGTTCAACTCTGTTAGTTGAGTACACACATCACAAACAAGTTTCACAGAATGCTTCTTTCTAGCTTGTAGGGGATGATATTCCCTTCATCACCATGGGCCTCAAAACGTCCGAAACGTCCACTTCCATATACTACAAAAAGAGCGTTTCAAACCTGCTCTAGGAAAGGCAATGTTCAACTCTGTGACTTGAATGCAGACATCACAGAGCAGTTCCTGAGAATGCTTCTGTGTAGATTTTATAGGAAGATATTCCCGTTTCCAACGAAATCTTCACAGCTATCCAAATATCCACTTGCAGATTCTACAAAAAGAGTGTATCAAAACTGCTCTGTCAAAAGGAAGGTTCTTCTCTGTTAGGTGAGTGCATACGTCATAAAGGAGTTTCTGAGAATGTTTCTGTCTAGTGGTTATGGGAAGATATTTGCTTTTTCACCGTAGGCCTCAGAGCGCTCCAAATATCCACTTGCACATACTACAAAAAGAGTGCCTCAAAGCTGCTCTCTGAAACGGAATGTTCAACTCTATGAGTTGAATGCAAACATCACAGAGACGTTTCTGAGAATGCTTCTGTCTAGCATTTGATATGAAGATATTCCCGTTTCCAACGAAATCTTCAAATCTATCCAAATGTCCACTTGCAGATTCAACAAAAAGTGTTTTTCAGAACTGCTCTATCAAAAGAAAGATCCACCTCTGTTAGCTGAGTTCACACATCACAAACAAGTTTATGAGAATGCTTCTGTCTAGTTTTTATTTGAAGATATTTCCTTTCTCACCATAGACCTGAAAGCTGTCCTAATGTTCACTTCCAGATACTACAGAAAGAGTGTTTCAAAACTGCTGTACGAAAGGGAATGTTCAACTTTGTGACTTGAATGCCCACATCACAAAGATGTTTCTGAGGATGCTGCTGTCTTCTTTTTATACGTAATCCCGTTTCCAACGAAATCCTCCAAGCTATCCAAATATCCACTTGCAGATTCCACAGAAAGACTGTTTCAAAACTGCTCTGTCAATAGAAAGGTTCAACTCTGTTAGCTGCGTGCATATATCCCAAAGAAGATTCTGAGATTGCTTCTGTCTACTTTTTATGAGAAGATATTTCCCTTTTCACCGTAGGCGTCAAGGCGCTCCAAATGTCCACTTCCAGATACTACAAAAAGAGTGTTTCAAACCTACTCTGTGAAAGGGAATATTCAACTCTGTGACTTGAATGCACATATCACAAAGAAGCTTCTGAGAATGCTTCTGTCGAGATTTTATATGAAGATAATCCCCTTTCCAACGAAATCCTGAAATCTATCCAAATATCCCCTCGCAGATTCTACAAAAAGAGTGTTTCAAAACTGCTCTGTAAAAAGAAAGGTTCAACTCTGTTAGTTGAGTACACACATCACAAACAAGTTTCACAGAATGCTTCTTTCTAGCTTGTAGGGGAAGATATTCCCTTTATCACCATGGGCCTCAAACCGTCCGAAACGTCCACTTCCATATAGTACAAAAAGAACGCTTCAAACCTGCTCTATGAAAGACAATGTTCAACTCTGTGACTTGAATGCAGACATCACAGAGCAGTTTCTGAGAATGCTTCTGTCTAGATTTTATAGGAAGATATTCCCGTTTCCAACGAAATCTTCACAGCTATCCAAATATCCACTTGCAGATTCTACAAAAAGAGTGTATCAAAACTGCTCTGTCAAAAGGAAGGTTCTTCTCTTTTAGGTGAGTGCATACGTCATAAAGGAGTTTCTGAGAATGTTTCTGTCTAGTGGTTATGGGAAGATATTTGCTTTTTCACCGAAGGCCTCAGAGCGCTCCAAATATCCACTTGCACATACTACAAAAAGAGTGCCTCAAAGCTGCTCTCTGAAACGGAATGTTCAACTCTATGAGTTGAATGCAAACATCGCAAAGACGTTTCTGAGAATGCTTCTGTCTAGATTTGATATGAAGATATTCCCGTTTCCAACGAAATCTTCAAATCTATCCAAATGTCCACTTGCAGATTCAACAAAGTGTTTTTCAGAATTGCTCTATCAAAGGAAAGATCCACCTCTGTTAGCTGAGTTCACACTTCACAAACAAGTTTATCAGAATGCTTCTGTCCAGTTTTTATTTGAAGATATTTCCTTTCTCACCATAGACCTGAAAGCTGTCCTAATGTTCACTTCCAGATACTACAGAAAGAGTGTTTCAAAACTGCTGTACGAAAGGGAATGTTCAACTCTGTGACTTGAATGCACACATCACAAAGAAGTTTCTGAGGATGCTGCTGGCTACTTTTTATACGTAATCCCGTTTCCAACGAAATCCTCCAAGCTATCCAAATATCCACTTGCAGATTCCACAGAAAGACTGTTTCAAAACTGCTCTGTCAATAGAAAGGTTCAACTCTGTTAGCTGCGTGCATATATCCCAAAGAAGATTCTGAGATTGCTTCTGTCTAGTTTTTATGGGAAGATATTTCCCTTTTCACCGTAGGTGTCAAGGCGCTCCAAATGTCCACTTACAGATACTACAAAAAGAGTGTTTCAAACCTACTCTGTGAAAGGGAATATTCAACTGTGTGACTTGAATGCAGATATCACAATGAAGTTTCTGAGAATGCTTCTGTCGACATTTTATATGAAGATATTCCCGTTTCCAAGGAAATCCTGAAATGTATCCAAATATCCCCTCGCAGATTCTACAAAAAGAGTGTTTCAAAACTGCTCTGTAAAAAGAAAGGTTCAACTCTGTTAGTTGAGTACACACATCACAAACAAGTTTCACACAATGCTTCTTTCTAGCTTGTAGGGGAAGATATTCCCTTTATCACCATGGGCCTCAAACCGACCGAAACTTCCACTTCCATATACTACAAAAAGAGCGTTTCAAACCTGCTCTATGAAAGGCAATGTTCAACTCTGTGACTTGAATGCAGACATCACAGAGCAGTTTCTGAGAATGCTTCTGTCTAGATTTTATAGGAAGATATTCCCGTTTCCAACGAAATCTTCACAGCTATCCAAATATCCACTTGCAGATTCTACAAAAAGAGTGTATCAAAACTGCTCTGTCAAAAGGAAGGTTCTTCTACTGTTAGGTGAGTGCATACGTCATAAAGGAGTTTCTGAGAATGTTTCTGTCTAGTGGTTATGGGAAGATATTTGCTTTTTCACCGTAGGCCTCAGAGCGCTCCAAATATCCACTTGCACATACTACAAAAAGAGTGCTTCAAAGCTGCTCTCTGAAAGGGAATGTTCAACTCTATGAGTTGAATGCAAACATCACAAAGACGTTTCTGAGAATGCTTCTGTCTAGATTTGATATGAAGATATTCCCGTTTCCAACGAAATCTTCAAATCTATCCAAAGGTCCACTTGCAGATTCAACAAAAAGTGTTTTTCAGAACTGCTCTATCAAAAGAAAGATCCACCTCTGTTAGCTGAGTTCACACATCACAAACAAGTTTATGAGAATGCTTCTGTGTAGTTTTTATTTGAAGATATTTCCTTTCTCACCATAGACCTGAATGCTGTCCTAATGTTCACTTCCAGATACTACAGAAAGAGTTTTTCAAAACTGCTGTACGAAAAGGAATATTCAACTCTGTGACTTGAATGCACACATCACAAAGAAGTTTCTGAGGATGCTGCTGTCTACTTTTTATACCTAATCCCGTTTCCAACGAAATCCTCCAAGCTATCCAAATATCCACTTGCAGATTCCACAGAAAGACTGTTTCAAAACTGCTCTGTCAATAGAAAGGTTCAACTCTGTTAGCTGCGTGCATATATCCCAAAGAAGATTCTGAGATTGTTTCTGTCTAGTTTTTATGGGAAGATATTTCCCTTTTCACCATAGGTGTCAAGGCGCTCAAAATGTCCACTTCCAGATACTACAAAAAGAGTGTTTCAAACCTACTCTGTGAAAGGGAATATTCAACTCTGTGACTTGAATGCAGACATCACAGAGCAGTTTCTGAGAATGCTTCTGTCGAGATTTTATATTAAGATATTCCCGTTTCCAACGAAATCCTGAAATCTATCCAAATATCCCCTCGCAGATTCTACAAAAAGAGTATTTCAAAACTGCTCTGTAAAAAGAAAGGTTCAACTCTGTTAGTTGAGTACACACATCACAAACAAGTTTCACAGAATGCTTCTTTCTAGCTTTGTAGGGGAAGATATTCCCTTTATCACCATGGGCCTCAAACCGTCCGAAAAGTCCACTTCCATATACTACAAAAAGAGCGTTTCAAACCTGCTCTATGAAAGGCAATGTTCAACTCTGTGACTTGAATGCAGACATCACAGAGCAGTTTCTGAGAATGCTTCTGTCTAGATTTTATAGGAAGATATTCCCGTTTCCAACGAAATCTTCACAGCTATCCAAATATCCACTTTCAGATTCTACAAAAAGAGTGTATCAAAAGTGCTCTGTCAAAAGGAAGGTTCTTCTCTGTTAGGTGAGTGCATACGTCATAAAGGAGTTTCTGAGAATGTTTCTGTCTAGTGGTTATGGGAAGATATTTGCTTTTTCCCCGTAGGCCTCAGAGCGCTCCAAATATCTACTTGCACATACTACAAAAAGAGTGCTTCAAAGCTACTCTCTGAAAGGGAATGTTCAACTCCATGAGTTTAATTGAAACATCACAAAGACGTTTCTGAGAATGCTTCTGTCTAGATTTGATATGAAGATATTCCCGTTTCCAACGAAATCTTCAAATCTATCCAAATGTCCTCTTGCAGATTCAACAAAAAGGGTTTTTCAGAACTGCTCTATCAAAAGAAAGATCCACGTGTGTTAGCTGAGTTCACACATCACGAACAAGTTTATGAGAATGCTTCTGTCTAGTTTTTATTTGAAGATATATCCTTTCTCACTATATACCTGAAAGCTCTCTTAAAGTTCACTTCCAGATACTACAGAAAGAGTGTTTCAAAACTGCTGTATGAAAGGGAATGTTCAACTCTGTGACTTGAATGCACACATCACAAAGAAGTTTCTGAGGATGCTGCTGTCTACTTTTTATACGTAATCCCGTTTCCAACGAAATCCTCCAAGCTATCCAAATATCCACTTGCAGATTCCACAGAAAGACTGTTTCAAAACTGCTCTGTCAATAGAAAGGTTCAACTCTATTAGCTGCGTACATATATCCCAAAGAAGATTCTGAAATTGCTTCTGTCTAGTTTTTATGGGAAGATATTTCCCTTTTCACCGTAGGCGTCAAGGCGCTCCAAATGTCCACTTCCAGATACTACAAAAAGAGTGTTTCAAACCTACTCTGTGAAAGGAAATATTCAACTCTGTGACTTGAATGCACATATCACAAGGAAGTTTCTGAGAATGCTTCTGTCGAGATTTTATATGAAGATATTCCCGTTTCCAACGAAATCCTGAAATCTATCCAAATATCCCCTCGCAGATTCTTCAAAAAGAGTGTTTCAATACTGCTCTGTAAAAAGAAAGGTTCAAGTCTGTTAGTTGAGTACACACATCACAAACAAGTTTCACAGAATGCTTCTTTCTAGCTTGTAGGGGAAGATATTCCCTTTATCACCATGGGCCTCAAACCGTCCGAAACGTCCACTTCCATATACTACAAAAAGAGTGTTTCAAACCTGCTCTATGAAAGGCAATGTTCAACTCTGTGACTTGAATGCAGACATCACAGAGCACTTTCTGAGAATGCTTCTGTCTAGATTTTATAGGAAGATATTCCCGTTTCCAACGAAATCTTCACAGCTATCCAAATATCCACTTGCAGATTCTACAAAAAGAGTGTATCAAAACTGCTCTGTCAAAAGGAAGGTTCTTCTCTGTTAGGTGTGTGCATACGTTTAAAGGAGTTTCTGAGAATGTTTCTGTCTAGTGGTTATGGGAAGATATTTGCTTTTTCCCCGTAGGCCTCAGGGCCCTCCAAATGTCCACTTGCACATGCTACAAAAAGAGTGCTTCAAAGCCGCTCTCTGAAAGGGAATGTTCAACTCTATGAGTTGAATGCAAACATCACAAAGACGTTTCTGAGAATGCTTCTGTCTAGATTTGATATGAAGATATTCCCGTTTCCAACGAAATCTTCAAATCTATCCAAATGTCCACTTGCAGATTCAACAAAAAGTGTTTTTCAGAACTGCTCTATCAAAAGAAAGATCCACCTCTGTTAGCTCAGTTCACACATCACAAACAAGTTTATGAGAATGCTTCTGTCTAGTTTTTATTTGAAGATATTTCCTTTCTCACCATAGACCTGAAAGCTGTCCTAATGTTCACTTCCAGATACTACAGAAAGAGTGTTTCAAAACTGCTGTACGAAAGGGAATGTTCAACTCTGTGACTTGAATGCACACATCACAAGGAAGTTTCTGAGGATGCTGCTGTGTACTTTTTATACGTAATCCCGTTTCCAACGAAATCCTCCAAGCTATCCAAATATCCACTTGCAGATTCCACAGAAAGACTGTTTCAAAACTGCTATGTCAATAGAAAGGTTCAACTCTGTTAGCTGCGTGCATATATCCCAAAGAAGATTCTGAGATTGCTTCTGTCTACTTTTTATGAGAAGATATTTCCCTTTTCACCGTAGGCGTCAAGGCGCTCCAAATGTCCACTTCCAGATACTACAAAAAGAGTGCTTCAAACCTACTCTGTGAAAGGGAATATTCAACTCTGTGACTTGAATGCACATATCACAAAGAAGCTTCTGAGAATGCTTCTGTCGAGATTTTATATGAAGATATTCCCGTTTCCAACGAAATCCTGAAATGTATCCAAATATCCCCTCGCAGATTCTACACAAAGAGTGTTTCAAAACTGCTCTGTAAAAACAAACGTTCAACTCTGTTAGTTGAGTACACACATCACAAACAAGTTTCACACAATGCTTCTTTCTAGCTTGTAGCGGAAGATATTCCCTTTATCACCATGGGCCTCCAACCGTCCGAAACATCCACTTCCATATACTACAAAAAGAGCGTTTCAAACCTGCTCTATGAAAGGCAATGTTCAACTCTGTGACTTGAATGCAGACATCACAGAGCAGTTTCTGAGAATGCTTCTGTCTAGATTTTATAGGAAGATATTCCCGTTTCCAACGAAATCTTCACAGCTATCCAAATATCCACTTGCAGATTCTACAAAAAGAGTGTATCAAAACTGCTCTGTCAAAAGAAAGGTTCTTCTCTGTTAGGTGAGTGCATACGTCATAAAGGAGTTTCTGAGAATGTTTCTGTCTAGTGGTTATGGGAAGATATTTGCTTTTTCACCGTAGGCCTCAGAGCGCTCCAAATATCCACTTGCACATACTACAAAAAGAGTGCCTCAAAGCTGTTCTCTGAAACGGAATGTTCAACTCTATGAGTTGAATGCAAACATCGCAAAGACGTTTCTGAGAATGCTTCTGTCTAGATTTGATATGAAGATATTCCCGTTTCCAAGGAAATCTTCAAATCTATCCAAATGTCCACTTGCAGATTCAACAAAAATTGTTTTTCAGAACTGCTCTATCAAAAGAAAGATCCACGTGTGTTAGCTGAGTTCACACATCACAAACAAGTTTATGAGAATGCTTCTGTCTAGTTTTTATTTGAAGATATTTCCTTTCTCACCATAGACCTGAAAGCTGTCCTAATGTTCACTTCCAGATACTGCAGAAAGAGTGTTTCAAAACTGTTGTACGAAAGGGAATGTTCAACTCTGTGACTTGAATGCACACATCACAAAGAAGTTTCTGAGGATGCTGCTGTCTACTTTTTATACGTAATCTCGTTTCCAAAGAAATCCTCCTAGCTATCCAAATATCCACTTGCAGATTCCACAGAAAGACTGTTTCAAAACTGCTCTGTCAATAGAAAGGTTCAACTCTGTTAGCTGCGTGCATATATCCCAAAGAAGATTCTGAGATTGCTTCTGTCTAGTTTTTATGGGAAGATATTTCCCTTTTCACCGTAGGCGTCAAGGCGCTCCAAATGTCCACTTCCAGATACTACAAAAAGAGTGTTTCAAACCTACTCTGTGAAAGGGAATATTCAACTCTGTGACTTGAATGCACATATCACAAAGAAGTTTCTGAGAATGCTTCTGTCGAGATTTTATATGAAGATATTCCCGTTTCCAACGAAATGCTGAAATCTATCCAAATATCCCCTCGCAGATTCTACAAAAAGAGTGTTTCAAAACTGCTCTTTAAAAAGAAAGGTTCAACTCTGTTAGTTGAGTACACACATCACAAACAAGTTTCACAGAATGCTTCTTTCTAGCTTGTAGGGGAAGATATTCCCTTTATCACCATGGGCCTCAAACCGTCCGATAAGTCCACTTCCATATACTACAAAAAGAGCGTTTCAAACCTGCTCTATGAAAGGCAATGTTCAACTCTGTGACTTGAATGCAGACATCACAGAGCAGTTTCTGAGAATGCTTCTGTCTAGATTTTATAGGAAGATATTCCCGTTTCCAACGAAATCTTCACAGCTATCCAAGTATCCACTTGCAGATTCTACAAAAAGAGTGTATCAAAACTGCTCTTTCAAAAGGAAGGTTCTTCTCTGTTAGGTGAGTGCATACGTCATAAAGGAGTTTCTGAGAATGTTTCTGTCTAGTGGTTATGGGAAGATATTTGCTTTTTCACCGTAGGCCTCAGAGGCGCTCCAAATATCCACTTGCACATACTACAAAAAGAGTGCCTCAAAGCTGCTCTCTGAAACGGAATGTTCAACTCTATGAGTTGAATGCAAACATCACAAAGACGTTTCTGAGAATGCTTCTGTCTAGATTTGATATGAAGGTATTCCCGTTTCCAAAGAAATCTTCAAATCTATCCAAATGTCCACTTGCAGATTCAACAAAAAGTGTTTTTCAGAACTGCTCTATCAAAAGAAAGATCCACCTCTGTTAGCTGAGTTAACACATCACAAACAAGTTTATGAGAATGCTTCTGTCTAGTTTTTATTTGAAGATATTTCCTTTCTCACCATAGACCTGAAAGCTGTCCTAAAGTTCACTTCCAGTTACTACAGAAAGAGTGTTTCAAAACTGCTGTACGAAAGGGAATGTTCAACTCTGTGACTTGAATGCACACATCACAAAGAAGTTTCTGAGGATGCTGCTGTCTACTTTTTATACTTAATCCCGTTTCCAACGAAATCCTCCAAGCTATCCAAATATCCACTTGCAGATTCCACAGAAAGACTGTTTCAAAACTGCTCTGCCAATAGAAAGGTTCAACTCTGTTAGCTGCGTGCATATATCCCAAAGAAGATTCTGAGATTGCTTCTGTCTAGTTTTTATGGGAAGATATTTCCCTTTTCACCGTAGGCGTCAAAGCGCTCCAAATGCCCACTTCCAGACACTACAAAAAGAGTGTTTCAAACCTACTCTGTGAAAGGGAATATTCAACTCTGTGACTTGAATGCAGATATCACAAAGAAGTTTCTGAGAATGCTTCTGTCGAGATTTTATATGAAGATA
Organism: Homo sapiens; assembly: GCF_000001405.40. NCBI lineage: Eukaryota > Metazoa > Chordata > Mammalia > Primates > Hominidae > Homo > Homo sapiens. Next base: position 17,367,932 of record NC_000013.11, on the reverse strand, counting down.
TTCCCCTTTCCAACGAAATCCTGAAATCTATCCAAATATCCCCTCGCAGATTCTACAAAAAGAGTGTTTCAAAACTGCTCTGTAAAAAGAAAGGTTCAACTCTGTTAGTTGAGTACACACATCACAAACAAGTTTCACAGAATGCTTCTTTCTAGCTTGTAGGGGAAGATATTCCCTTTATCACCATGGGCCTCAAACCGTCCGAAACGTCCACTTCCATATGCTACAAAAAGAGTGTTTCAAACCTGCTCTATGAAAGGCAATGTTCAACTCTGTGAGTTGAATGCAGACATCACAGAGCAGTTTCTGAGAATGCTTCTGTCTAGATTTTATAGGAAGATATTCCCGTTTCCAACGAAATCTTCACAGCTATCCAAATATCCACTTGCAGATTCTGCAAAAAGAGTGTATCAAAACTGCTCTGTCAAAAGGAAGGTTCTTCTCTGTTAGTTGAGTACATACTTCATAAAGGAGTTTCTGAGAATGTTTCTGTCTAGTGGTTATGGGAAGATATTTGCTTTTTCACCGTAGGCCTCAGAGCGCTCCAAATATCCACTTGCACATACTACAAAAAGAGTGCTTCAAAGCTGGTCTCTGAAACGGAATGTTCAACTCTATGAGTTGAATGCAAACATCACAAAGACGTTTCTGAGAATGCTTCTTTCTAGATTTGATATGACGATATTCCCGTTTCCAACGAAATCTTCAAATCTATCCAAATGTCCACTTGCAGATTCAACAAAACGTGTTTTTCAGAACTGCTCTATCAAAAGAAAGATCCACCTCTGTTAGCTGAGTTCACACATCACAAACAAGTTTATGAGAATGCTTCTGTCTAGTTTTTATTTGAAGATATTTCCTTTCTCACCATAGACCTGAAAGCTGTCCTAATGTTCACTTCCAGATACTACAGAAAGAGTGTTTCATAACTGCTGTACGAAAGGGAATGTTCAACTCTGTGACTTGAATGCACACATCACAAAGAAGTTTCTGAGGATGCTGCTGTCTAATTTTTATACGTAATCCCGTTTCCAACGAAATCCTCCAAGCTATCCAAATATCCACTTGCAGATTCCACAGAAAGACTGTTTCAAAACTGCTCTGTCAATAGAAAGGTTCAACTCTGTTAGCAGCGTGCATATATCCCAAAGAAGATTCTGAGATTGCTTCTGTCTACTTTTTATGAGAAGATATTTCCCTTTTCACCGTAGGCGTCAAGGCGCTCCAAATGTCCACTTCCAGATACTACAAAAAGAGTGTTTCAAACCTACTCTGTGAAAGGGAATATTGAACTCTGTGACTTGAATGCACATATCACAAAGAAGCTTCTGAGAATGCTTCTGTCGAGATTTTATATGAAGATATTCCCGTTTCCAAAGAAATCCTGAAATCTATCCAAATATCCCCTCGCAGATTCTACAAAAATAGTGTTTCAAAACTGCTCTGTAAAAAGAAAGGTTCAACTCTGTTAGTTGAGTACACACATCACAAACAAGTTTCACAGAATGCTTCTTTCTAGCTTGTAGGGGAAGATATTCCCTTTATCACCATGGGCCTCCAACCGTCCGAAACATCCACTTCCATATACTACACAAAGAGCGTTTCAAACCTGCTCTATGAAAGGCAATGTTCAACTCTGTGACTTGAATACAGACATCACAGAGCAGTTTCTGAGAATGCTTCTGTCTAGATTTTATAGGAAGATATTCCCTGTTTCCAACGAAATCTTCACAGCTATCCAAATATCCACTTGCAGATTCTACAAAAAGAGTGTATCAAAACTGCTCTGTCAAAAGGAAGGTTCTTCTCTGTTAGGTGAGTGCATACATCATAAAGGAGTTTCTGAGAATGTTTCTGTCTAGTGGTTACGGGAAGATATTTGCTTTTTCCCCGTAGGGCTCAAAGCGCTCCAAATGTCCACTTGCACATACTACAAAAACAGTGCTTCAAAGCTGCTCTCTGAAAGGGAATGTTCAACTCTATGAGTTGAATGCAAACATCACAAAGACGTTTCTGAGAATGCTTCTGTCTAGATTTGAAATGAACATATTCCCGTTTTCAACGAAATCTTCAAATCTATCCAAATGTCTACTTGCAGATTCAACAAAAAGTGTTTTTCAAAACTGCTGTGTCGAAAGAAAGATCCAACTCTGTTAGCTGAGTTCACACTTCACAAACAAGTTTATCAGAATGCTTCTGTCTAGTTTTTATTTGAAGATATTTCCTTTCTCACCATAGACCTGAAAGCTGTCCTAATGTTCACTTCCAGATACTACAGAAAGAGTGTTTCAAAACTGCTGTACGAAAGGGAATGTTCAACTCTGTGACTTGAATACACACATCACAAAGAAGTTTCTGAGGAGGCTGCAGTCTACTTTTTATACGTAATCCCGTTTCTAAAGAAAACCTCCAAGCTATCCAAATATCCACTTGCAGATTCCACAGAAAGACTGTTTCAAAACTGCTCTGTCAATAGAAAGGTTCAACTCTGTTAGCTGCGTGCATATATCCCAAAGAAGATTCTGAGATTGCTTCTGTCTACTTTTTATGAGAAGATATTTCCCTTTTCACCGTAGGCATCAAGGCGCTCCAAATGTCCACTTCCAGATACTACAAAAAGTGTGTTTCAAACCTACTCTGTGAAAGGGAATATTCAACTCTGTGACTTGAATGCACATATCACAACGAAGCTTCTGAGAATGCTTCTGTCGAGATTTTATATGAAGATATTCCCGTTTCCAACGAAATCCTGAAATCTATCCAAATATCCCCTTGCAGATTCTACAAAAAGAGTGTTTCAAAACTGCTCTGTAAAAAGAAAGGTTCAACTCTGTTAGTTGAGTACACACATCACAAACAAGTTTCACAGAATGCTTCTTTCTAGCTTGTAGGGGAAGATATTCCCTTTATCACCATGGGCCTCAAACCGTCCGAAACATCCACTTCCATATACTACAAAAAGAGCGTTTCAAACCTGCTCTATGAAAGGCAATGTTCAACTCTGTGACTTGAATGCAGACATCACAGAGCAGTTTCTGAGAATGCTTTCTGTCTAGATTTTATAGGAAGATATTCCCGTTTCCAACGAAATCTTCACAGCTATCCAAATATCCACTTGCAGATTCTACAAAAAGAGTGTATCGAAACTGCTCTGTCAAAAGGAAGGTTCTTCTCTGTTAGGTGAGTGCATACGTCATAAAGGAGTTTCTGAGAATGTTTCTGTCTAGTGGTTATGGGAAGATATTTGCTTTTTCCCCGTAGGCCTCAGGGCCCTCCAAATGTCCACTTGCACATGCTACAAAAAGAGTGCTTCAAAGCTGCTCTCTGAAAGGGAATGTTCAACTCTATGAGTTGAATGCAAACATCACAAAGACGTTTCTGAGAATGCTTCTGTCTAGATTTGATATGAAGATATTCCCGTTTCCAACGAAATCTTCAAATCTATCCAAATGTCCACCTGCAGATTCAACAAAAAATGTTTTTCAGAACTGCTCTATCAAAAGAAAGATCCACCTCTGTTAGCTGAGTTCACACATCACAAACAAGTTAATGAGAATGCTTCTGTCTAGTTTTTATTTGAAGATATTTCCTTTCTCACCATAGACCTGAAAGCTTTCCTAATGTTCACTTCCAGATACTACAGAAAGAGTGGTTCAAAACTGCTGTACGAAAGGGAATGTTCAACTCTGTGACTTGAATGCACACATCACAAAGAAGTTTCTGAGGATGCTGCTGTCTAATTTTTATACGTAATCCCGTTACCAACGAAATCCTCCAAGCTATCTAAATATCCACTTGCAGATTCCACAGAAAGACTGTTTCAAAACTGCTCTGTCAATAGAAAGGTTCAACTCTGTTAGCTGCGTGCATATATCCCAAAGCAGATTCTGAGATTCCTTCTGTCTAGTTTTTATGGGAAGATATTTCCCTTTTCACCGTAGGCGTCGAGGCGCTCCAAATTTCCACTTCCAGATACTACAAAAAGAGTGTTTGAAACCTACTCTGTGAAAGGGAATATTCAACTCTGTGACTTGAATGCACATATCACAAAGAAGTTTCTGAGAATGCTTCTGTCGAGATTTTATATGAAGATATTCCCGTTTCCAACGAAATCCTGAAATCTATCCAAATATCCCCTCGCAGATTCTACAAAAAGAGTGTTTCAAAACTGCTCTGTAAAAAGAAAGGTTCAACCCTCTTAGTTGAGTACACACATCACAAACAAGTTTCACAGAATGCTTCTTTCTAGCTTGTAGGGGAAGATATTCCCTTTATCACCATGGACCTAAAACCGTCCGAAACGTCCACTTCCATATACTACAAAAAGAGCGTTTCAAACCTGCTCTAGGAAAGGCAATGTTCAACTCTGTGACTTGAATGCAGACATCACAGAGCAGTTTCTGAGAATGCTTCTGTCTAGATTTTATAGGAAGATATTCCCGTTTCCAACGAAATCTTCACAGCTATCCAAATATCCACTTGCAGATTCTACAAAAAGAGTGTATCAAAACTGCTCTGTCAAAAGGAAGGTTCTTCTCTGTTAGGTGAGTGCATACTTCATAAAGCAGTTTCTGAGAATGTTTCTGTCTAGTGGTTATGGGAAGATATTTGCTTTTTCACCGTAGGCCTCAGAGCGCTCCAAATATCCACTTGCACATACTACAAAAAGAGTGCCTCAAAGCTGCTCTCTGTAACGGAATGTTCAACTCTATGAGTTGAATGCAAACATCACAAAGACGTTTCTGAGAATGCTTCTGTCTAGATTTGATATGAAGATATTCCCGTTTCCAACGAAATCTTCAAATCTATCCAAATGTCCACTTGCAGATTCAACAAAAAGTGTTTTTCAGAACTGCTCTATCAAAAGAAAGATCCACCTCTGTTAGCTGAGTTCACACATCACAAACAAGTTTATGAAAATGCTTCTGTCTATTTTTTATTTGAAGATATAGCCTTTCTCACTATAGACATGAAAGCTCTCCTAAAGTTCACTTCCAGATACTTCAGAAAGAGTGTTTCAAAACTGCTGTACGAAAGGGAATGTTCAACTCTGTGACTTGAATGCACACATTACAAGGAAGTTTCTGTGGATGCTGCTGTCTAGCTTTTTATATCTGTAATCCCGTTTCCAACGAAATCCTCCAAGCTATCCAAATATCTACTTGCAGATTCCACAGAAAGACTGTTTCAAAACTGCTCTGTCAATAGAAAGGTTTAACTCTGTTAGCTGCGTGCATATATCCCAAAGAAGATTCTGAGATTGCTTCTGTCTAGTTTTTATGGGAAGATATTTCCCTTTTCACCGTAGGTGTCAAGGCGCTCCAAATGTCCACTTCCAGATACTACAAAAAGAGTGTTTCAAACCTACTCTGTGAAAGGGAATATTCAACTCTGTGACTCGAATGCACATATCACAAAGAAGTTTCTGAGAATGCTTCTGTCGAGATTTTATATGAAGATATTCCCGTTTCCAACGAAATCCTGAAATCTATCCAAATATCCCCTCGCAGATTCTACAAAAAGAATGTTTCAAAACTGCTCTGTAAAAAGAAAGGTTCAACTCTGTTATTTGAGTACACACATCACAAACAAGTTTCACAGAATGCTTCTTTCTAGCTTGTAGGGGAAGATATTCCCTTTATCACCATGGGCCTCCAACCGTCCGAAACATCCACTTCCATATACTACAAAAAGAGCGTTTCAAACCTGCTCTATGAAAGGCAATGTTCAACTCTGTGACTTGAATGCAGACATCACAGAGCAGTTACTGAGAATGCTTCTGTGTAGATTTTATAGGAAGATATTCCCGTTTCCAACGAAATCTTCACAGCTATCCAAATATCCACTTGCAGATTCTACAAAAAGAGTGTATCAAAACTGCTCTGTCAAAAGGAAGGTTCTTCTCTCTTAGGTGAGTGCATACGTCATAAAGGAGTTTCTGAGAATGTTTCTGTCTAGTGGTTATGGGAAGATATTTGCTTTTTCACCGTAGGCCTCAGAGCGCTCCAAATATCCACTTGCACATACTACAAAAAGAGTGCCTCAAAGCTGCTCTCTGAAACGGAATGTTCAACTCTATGAGTTGAATGCAAACATCGCAAAGACGTTTCTGAGAATGCTTCTGTCTAGATTTGATATGAAGATATTCCCGTTTCCAACTAAATCTTCAAATCTATCCAAATGTCCACTTGCAGATTCAACAAAAAGTGTTTTTCAGAACTGCTCTATCAAAAGAAAGATCCACCTCTGTTAGCTGAGTTCAGACATCACAAACAAGTTTATGAGAATGCTTCCTGTCTAGTTTTTATTTGAAGATATTTCCTTTCTCACCATAGAGCTGAAAGCTGTCCTAATGTTCACTTCCAGATACTACAGAAAGAGTGTTTCAAAACTGCTGTACGAAAGGGAATGTTCAACTCTGTGACTTGAATGCACACATCACAAAGAAGTTTCTGAGGATGCTGCTGTCTACTTTTTATATGTAATCCCGTTTCCAATGAAATCCTCCAAGCTATCCAAATATCCACTTGCAGATTCCACAAAAAGACTGTTTCAAAACTGCTCTGTCAATAGAAAGGTTCAACTCTGTTAGCTGCATGCATACATCCCAAAGAAGATTCTGAGATTGCCTCTGTGTAGTTTTTATGGGAAGATATTTCCTTTTTCACCATAGACGTCAAAGCGCTCCCAATGTCCACTTCCAGATACTACAAAAAGAGTGTTTCAAACCTGCTATGTGAAAGGGAATATTCAACTCTGTAACTTCAATGCATATATCACAAAGAGGTTTCGGAGAATGCTTCTGTCGAGATTTTATATGAAGATATTCCCGTTTCCAACGAAATCCTGAAATCTATCCAAATATCCCCTCGCAGATTCTACAAAAAGAGTGTTTCAAAACTGCTCTGTAAAAAGAATGGTTCAACTCTATTAGTTGAGTACACACATCACAAACAAGTTTCACAGAATGCTTCTTTCTAGCTTGTAGGGGAAGATATTCCCTTTATCACCATGGGCCTCAAACCGTCCGAAACGTCTACTTCCATATACTACAAAAAGAGCGTTTCAAACCTGCTCTAGGAAAGGCAATGTTCAACTCTGTGACTTGAATGCAGACATCACAGAGCAGTTTCTGAGAATGCTTCTGTCTAGATTTTATAGGAAGATATTCCCGTTTCCAGCAAAATCTTCACAGCTATCCAAATATCCACTTGCAGATTCTACAAAAAGAGTGTATCAAAACTGCTCTGTCAAATGGAAGGTTCTTCTCTGTTAGGTGAGTGCATACGTCATAAACGAGTTTCTGAGAATGTTTCTGTCTAGTGGTTATGGGAAGATATTTGCTTTTTCACCTTAGGCCTCAGAGCGCTCCAAATATCCCTTTACAAATCCTACAAAAAGAGTGCTTCAAAGCTGCTCTCTGAAAGGGAATGTTCAACTCTATGAGTTGAATGCAAACATCACAAAGACGTTTCTGGGAATGCTTCTGTCTAGATTTGATATGAAGATATTCCCGTTTCCAACGAAATCTTCAAATCTATCCAAATGTCCACTTGCAGATTCAACAAAATGTGTTTTTCAGAACTGCTCTATCAAAAGAAAGATCCACCTCTGTTAGCTGAGTTCACACATCACAAACAAGTTTATGAGAATGCTTCCGTCTAGTTTTTATTTGAAGATATTTCCTTTCTCACCATAGACCTGAAAGCTGTCCTAATGTTCACTTCCAGATACTACAGAAAGAGTGTTTCAAAACTGCTGTACGAAAGGGAATGTTCAACTCTGTGACTTGAATGCACACATCACAAAGAAGTTTCTGAGGATGCTGCTGTCTACTTTTTATACGTAATCCCGTTTCCAACGAAATCCTCCAAGCTATCCAAATATCCACTTGCAGATTCCACAGAAAGACTGTTTCAAAACTGCTCTGTCAATAGAAAGGTTCAACTCTGTTAGCGGCGTGCATAAATCCCAAAGAAGATTCTGAGATTGCTTCTGTCTAGTTTTTATGGGAAGATATTTCCCTTTTCACCGTAGGCGTCAAGGCGCTCCAAATGTCCACTTCCAGATACTACAAAAAGAGTGTTTCAAACCTACTCTGTGAAAGGGAATATTCAACTCTGTGACTTGAATGCACATATCACAAGGAAGTTTCTGAGAATGCTTCTGTCGAGATTTTATATGAAGATATTCCCGTTTCCAACGAAATGCTGAAATGTTTCCAAATATCCCCTCGCAGATTCTACAAAAAGAGTGTTTCAAAACTACTCTGTAAAAAGAAAGGTTCAACTCTGTTAGTTGAGTACACACATCACAAACAAGTTTCACAGAATGCTTCTTTCTAGCTTGTAGGGGAAGATATTCCCTTTATCACCATGGGCCTCAAACCGTCCGAAACGTCCACTTCCATATACTACAAAAAGAGCGTTTCAAACCTGCTCCATGAAAGGCAATGTTCAACTGTGTGACTTGAATGCAGACATCACAGAGCAGTTTCTGAGAATGCTTCTGTCTAGTGGTTATGGGAAGATATTTGCTTTTTCACCGTAGGCCTCAGAGCGCTCCAAATATCCACTTTCAGATTCTACAAAAAGAGTGTATCAAAACTGCTCTGTCAAAAGGAAGGTTCTTTTCTGTTAGGTGAGTGCATACGTCATAAAGGAGTTTCTGAGAATGTTTCTGTCTAGTGGTTATGGGAAGATATTTGCTTTTTCCCCGTATGCCTCAGGGCGCTCCAAATGTCCACTTGCACATGCTACAAAAAGAGTGCTTCAAAGCTGCTCTCTGAAAGGGAATGTTCAACTCTATGAGTTGAATGCAAACATCACAAAGACGTTTCTGAGAATGCTTCTGTCTAGATTTGATATGAAGATATTCCCGTTTCCAACGAAATCTTCAAATCTATCCAAATGTCCACTTGCAGATTTCAACAAAAAGTGTTTTTCAAAACTGCTGTATCAAAAGAAAGATCCACGTCTGTTAGCTGAGTTCACACATCACAAACAAGTTTATGAGAATGCTTCTGTCTAGTTTTTATTTGAAGATATTTCCTTTCTCACCATAGACCTGAAAGCTGTCCTAATGTTCACTTCCAGATACTACAGAAAGAGCGTTTCAAAACTGATGTACGAAAGGGAATGTTCAACTCTGTGACTTGAATGCACACATCACAAAGAAGTTTCTGAGGATGCTGCTGTCTACTTTTTATACGTAATCCCGTTTCCAACGAAATCCTCCAAGCTATCCAAATATCCACTTGCAGATTCTACAGAAAGACTGTTTCAAAACTGCTCTGTCAATAGAAAGGTTCAACTCTGTTAGCTGCGTGCATATATCCCAAAGAAGATTCTGAGATTGCTTCTGTCTAGTTTTTACGGGAAGATATTTCCCTTTTCACCATAGGTGTCAAGGCGCTCCAAATGTCCACTTCCAGATACTACAAAAAGAGTGTTTCAAACCTACTCTGTGAAAGGGAATATTCCGCTCTGTGACTTGAATGCAGATATCACAATGAAGTTTCTGAGAATGCTTCTGTCGAGATTTTGTATGAAGATATTCCCGTTTCCAACGAAATCCTGAAATCTATCCAAATATCCCCTCGCAGATTCTACAAAAAGAGTGTTTCAAAACTGCTCTGTGAAAAGAAAGGTTCAACTCTGTTAGTTGAGTACACACATCACAAACAAGTTTCACAGAATGCTTCTTCTTTCTAGCTTGTAGGGGAAGATATTCCCTTTATCACCATGGGCCTCAAACCGTCCGAAAAGTCCACTTCCATATACTACAAAAAGAGCGTTTCAAACCTGCTCTATGAAAGGCAATGTTCAACTCTGTGACTTGAATGCAGACATCACAGAGCAGTTTCTGAGAATGCTTCTGTCTAGATTTTATAGGAAGATATTCCCGTTTCCAACGAAATCTTCACAGCTATCCAAATATCCACTTGCAGATTCTACAAAAAGAGTGTATCAAAACTGCTCTGTCAAAAGGAAGGTTCTTCTCTGTTAGGTGAGTGCATACGTCATAAAGGAGTTTCTCAGAATGTTTCTGTCTAGTGGTTATGGGAAGATATTTGCATTTTCACCGTAGGCCTCAGAGCGCTCCAAATATCCACTTGCACATACTACAAAAAGAGTGCCTCAAAGCTGCTCTCTGAAAGGGAATGTTCAACTCTATGAGTTGAATGCAAACATCGCAAAGACGTTTCTGAGAATGCTTCTGTCTAGATTTGATATGAAGATATTCCCGTTTCCAAAGAAATCTTCAAATCTATCCAAATGTCCACTTGCAGATTCAACAAAAAGTGTTTTTCAGAACTGCTCTATCAAAAGAAAGATCCACGTCTCTTAGCTGAGTTCACACATCACAAACAAGTTTATGAGAATGCTTCCGTCTAGTTTTTATTTGAAGATATTTCCTTTCTCACCATAGACCTGAAAGCTGTCCTAATGTTCACTTCCAGATACTACAGAAAGAGTGTTTCAAAACTGCTGTACGAAAGGGAATGTTCAACTCTGTGACTTGAATGCACACATCACAAAGGAGTTTCTGAGGATGCTGCTGTCTACTTTTTATACGTAATCCCGTTTCCAACGAAATCCTCCAAGCTATCCAAATATCCACTTGCAGATTCCACAGAAGGACTGTTTCAAAACTACTCTGTCAATAGAAAGGTTCAACTCTGTTAGCTGCGTGCATATATCCCAAAGAAGATTCTGAGATTGCTTCTGTCTAGTTTTTATGTGAAGATATTTCCCTTTTCACCGTAGGCGTCAAGGCGCTCCAAATGTCCACTTCCAGATACTACAAAAAGAGTGTTTCAAACCTACTCTGTGAAAGGGAATATTCAACTCTGTGACTTGAATGCACATATCACAAAGAAGTTTCTGAGAATGCTTCTGTCGAGATTTTATATGAAGATATTCCCGTTTCCAACGAAATCCTGAAATCTATCCAAATATCCCCTCGCAGATTCTACAAAAAGAGTGTTTCAAAACTGCTCTGTGAAAAGAAAGGGTCAACTCTGTTAGTTGAGTACACACATCACAAACAAGTTTCACAGAATGCTTCTTTCTAGCTTGTAGGGGAAGATATTCCCTTTATCACCATCGGCCTCAAACCGTCTGAAACGTCCACTTCCAGATACTACAAAAAGAGCATTTCAAACCTGCTCTATGAAAGGCAATGTTCAACTCTGTGACTTGAATGCAGACATCACAGAGCAGTTTCTGAGAATGCTTCTGTCTAGATTTTATAGGAAGATATTCCCGTTTCCAACGAAATCTTCACAGCTATCCCAAATATCCACTTGCAGATTCTACAAAAAGAGTGTATCAAAACTGCTCTGTCAAAAGGAAGGTTCTTCTCTGTTAGGTGAGTGCATACGTCATAAAGGAGTTTCTGAGAATGTTTCTGTCTAGTGGTTATGGGAAGATATTTGCTTTTTCCCCGTAGGCCTCAGGGCGCTCCACATGTCCACTTGCACATGCTACAAAAAGAGTGCTTCAAAGCTGCTCTCTCAAAGGGAATGTTCAACTCTATGAGTTGAATGCAAACATCGCAAAGACGTTTCTGAGAATGCTTCTGTCTAGATTTGATATGAAGATATTCCCGTTTCCAACGAAATCTTCATATCTATCCAAATGTCCACTTGCAGATTCAACAAAAAGTGTTTTTCAAAACTGCTGTATCAAAAGAAAGATCCACGTCCGTTAGCTGAGTTCACACATCACAAACAAGTTTATGAGAATGCTTCTGTCTAGTTTTTATTTGAAGATATTTCCTTTCTCACCATAGACCTGAAAGCTGTCCTATTGTTCACTTCCAGATACTAAAGAAAGAGTGTTTCAAAACTGCTGTACGAAAGGGAATGTTCAACTCTGTGACTTCAATGCACACATCACAAAGAAGTTTCTGAGGATGCTGCTGTCTACTTTTTATACGTAATCCCGTTTCCAATGAAATCCTCCAAGCTATCCAAGTATCCACTTGCAGATTCCACAGAAAGAGTGTTTCAAAACTGCTCTGTCAATAGAAAGGTTCAACTCTGTTAGCTGCGTGCATATATCCCAAAGAAGATTCTGAGATTGCTTCTGTCTAGTTTTTATGGGAAGATATTTCCCTTTTCACCGTAGGCGTCAAGGCGCTCCAAATGTCCACTTCCAGATACTACAAAAAGAGTGTTTCAAACCTACTCTGTGAAAGCGAATATTCAACTCTGTGACTTTAATGCACATATCACAAAGAAGTTTCTGAGAATGCTTCTGTCGAGATTTTATATGATAGATATTCCCGTTTCCAACGAAATCCTGAAATCTATCCAAATATCCCCTCGCAGATTCTACAAAAAGAGTGTTTCAAAACTGCTCTGTAAAAAGAAAGGTTCAACTCTGTTAGTTGAGTACACACATCACAAACAAGTTTCACAGAATGCTTCTTTCTAGCTTGTAGGGGAAGATTTTCCCTTTATCACCATGGGCCTCCAACCGTCCGAAACATCCACTTCCATATACTACAAAAAGAGCGTTTCAAACCTGCTCTATGAAAGGCAATGTTCAACTCTGTGACTTGAATGCAGACATCACAGAGCAGTTTCTGAGAATGCTTCTGTCTAGATTTTATAGGAAGATATTCCCGTTTCCAACGAAATCTTCACAGCTATCCAAATATCCACTTGCAGATTCTACAAAAAGAGTGTATCAAAACTGCTCAGTCAAAAGAAAGGTTCTTCTCTGTTAGGTGAGTGCATACGTCATAAAGGAGTTTCTGAGAATGTTTCTGTCTAGTGGTTATGGGAAGATATTTGCTTTTTCCCCGTAGGCCTCAGGGCGCTCCAAATGTCCACTTGCACATGCTACAAAAAGAGTGCTTCAAAGCTTCTCTCTGAAAGGGAATGTTCAACTCTATGAGTTGAATGCAAACATCACAAAGACGTTTCTGAGAATGCTTCTGTCTAGATTTGATATGAAGATATTCCCGTTTCCAACGAAATCTTCAAATCTATCCGAATGTCCACTTGCAGATTCAACAAAAAGTGTTTTTCAGAACTGCTCTATCAAAAGAAAGATCCACCTCTGTTAGCTGAGTTCACACATCACAAACAAGTTTATGAGAATGCTTCTGTCTAGTTTTTATTTGAAGATATTTCCTTTCTCACCATAGAGCTGAAAGCTGTCCTAATGTTCACTTCCAGTTACTACAGAAAGAGTGTTTCAAAACTGCTGTACGAAAGGGAATGTTCAACTCTGTGACTTGAATGCACACATCACAAAGAAGTTTCTGAGGATGCTGCTGTCTACTTTTTATACGTAATCCCGTTTCCAACGAAATCCTCCAATCTATCCAAATATCCACTTGCAGATTCCACAGAAAGACTGTTTCAAAACTGCTCTGTCAATAGAAAGGTTCAACTCTGTTAGCTGCGTGCAGATATCCCAAGGAAGATTCTGAGATTGCTTCTGTCTAGTTTTTATGGGAAGATATTTCCCTTTTCACCGTAGGCGTCAAGTCGCTCCAAATGTCCACTTCCAGATACTACAAAAAGAGTGTTTCAAACCTACTCTGTGAAAGGGAATATTCAACTCTGTGACTTGAATGCAGATATCACAAAGAAGTTTCTGAGAATGCTTCTGTCGAGATTTTATATGAAGATATTCCCGTTTCCAACGAAATCCTGAAATCTCTCCAAATATCCCCTCGCAGATTCTACAAAAAGAGTGTATGAAAACTGCTCTGTCAAAAGGTAGGTTCTTCTCTGTTAGGTGAGTGCATACGTCATAAAGGAGTTTCTGAGAATGTTTCTTTCTAGCTTGTAGGGGAAGATATTCCCTTTATCACCATGGGCCTCAAACCGTCCGAAATGTCCACTTCCATATACTACAAAAAGAGCGTTTCAAACCTGCTCTATGAAAGGCAATGTTCAACTCTGTGACTTGAATGCAGACATCACAGAGCAGTTTCGGAGAATGCTTCTGTCTAGATTTTATAGGAAGATATTCCCGTTTCCAACGAAATCTTCACAGCTATCCAAATATCCACTTGCAGATCCTACAAAAAGAGTGTATCAAAACTGCTCTGTCAAAAGGAAGGTTCTTCTCTGTTAGTTGAGTACATACGTCATAAAGGAGTTTCTGAAAATGTTTCTGTCTAGTGGTTATGGGAAGATATTTGCTTTTTCACCTTAGGCCTCAGAGCGCTCCAAATATCCCCTTGCACATACTACAAAAAGAGTGCTTCAAAGCTGCTCTCTGAAAGGGAATGTTCAACTCTATGAGTTGAATGCAAACATCACAAAGACGTTTCTGAGAATGCCTCTGTCTAGATTTGATATGAAGATATTCCCGTTTCCAACGAAATCTTCAAATCTATACAAATGTCCATTTGCAGATTCAACAAAATGTGTTTTTCAGAACTGCTCTATCAAAAGAAAGATCCACCTCTGTTAGCTGAGCTCACACATCACAAACAAGTTTATGAGAATGCTTCTGTCTAGTTTTTATTTGAAGATATTCCCTTTCTCACCATAGACCTGTAAGCTGTCCTAATGTTCACTTCCAGATACTACAGAAAGAGTGTTTCAAAACTGCTGTACGAAAGGGAATGTTCAACTCTGTGACTTGAATGCACACATCACAAAGAAGTTTCTGAGGATGCTGCTGTCTACTTTTTATACGTAATCCCGTTTCCAACGAAATCCTCCAATCTATCCAAATATCCACTTGCAGATTCCACAGAAAGACTGTTTCAAAACTGCTGTGTCTATAGAAAGGTTCAACTCTGTTAGCTGCGTGCATATATCCCAAAGAAGATTCTGAGATTGCTTCTGTCTAGTTTTTATGGGAAGATATTTCCCTTTTCACCGTAGGCGTCAAGGCGCTCCAAATGTCCACTTCCAGATACTACAAAAAGAGTGTTTCAAACCTACTCTGTGAAAGGGAATATTCAACTTTGTGACTTGAATGCACATATCACAAAGAAGTTTCTGAGAATGCTTCTGTCGAGATTTTATATGAAGATATTCCCGTTTCCAACGAAATCCTGAAATCTATCCAAATATCCCCTCGCAGATTCTACAAAAAGAGTGTTTCAAAACTGCTCTGTAAAAAGAAAGGTTCAACTCTGTTAGTTGAGTACACACTTCACAAACAAGTTTCACAGAATGCTTCTTTCTAGCTTGTAGGGGAAGATATTCCCTTTATCACCATGGGCCTCAAACCGTCCGAAACGTCCACTTCCATATAGTACAAAAAGAGCGTTTCAAACCTGCTCTATGAAAGGCAATGTTCAACTCTGTGACTTGAATGCAGACATCACAGAGCAGTTTCTGAGAATGCTTCTGTCTAGATTTTATAGGAAGATATTCCCTGTTTCCAACGAAATCTTCACAGCTATCCAAATATCCACTTGCAGATTCTACAAAAAGAGTGTATCAAAACTACTCTGTCAAAAGGAAGGTTCTTCTCTGTTAGGTGAGTGCATACATCATAAAGGAGTTTCTGAGAATGTTTCTGTCTAGTGGTTATGGGAAGATATTTGCTTTTTCACCGTAGGCCTCAGAGCGCTCCAAATATCCACTTGAACATACTACAAAAAGAGTGCTTCAAAGCTGCTCTCTGAAACGGAATGTTCAACTCTATGAGTTGAATGCAAACATCACAAAGACGTTTACTGAGAATGCTTCTGTCTAGATTTGATATGAAGATATTCCCGTTTCCAACGAAATCTTCAAATCTATCCAAATGTCCACTTGCAGATTCAACAAAAAGTGTTTTTCAGAACTGCTCTATCAAAATAAAGATCCACCTCTGTTACCTGAGTTCACACTTCACAAACAAGTTTTTGAGAATGCTTCTGTCTAGTTTTTATTTGAAGATATTTCCCTTCTCACCATAGAGTGAAAGCTGTCCTAATGTTCACTTCCAGATACTACAGAAAGAGTGTTTCAAAACTGCTGTACGAAAGGGAATGTTCAACTCTGTGACTTGAATGCACACATCACAAAGAAGTTTCTGAGGATGCTGCTGTCTACTTTTTATACGTAATCCCGTTTCCAACGAAATCCTCCAAGCTATCCAAATATCCACTTGCAGATTCCACAGAAACACTGTTTCAAAACTGTTCTGTCAATAGAAAGGTTCAACTATGTTAGCTGCGTGCATATATCCCAAAGAAGATTCTGAGATTGCTTCTGTCTAGTTTTTATGGGAAGATATTTCCCTTTTCACCGTAGGCGTCAAGGCGCTCCAATGTCCAATTCCAGATAGTATAAAAAGAGTGTTTCAAACCTCCTCTGTGAAAGGGAATATTCAACTCTGTGACTGTAATGCAGATATCACAAAGAAGTTTCTGAGAATGCTTCTGTCGAGATTTTATATGAAGATATTCCCGTTTCCAACGAAATCCTGAAATGTATCCAAATATCCCCTCGCAGATTCTACAAAAAGAGTGTTTCAAAACTGCTCTGTGAAAAGAAAGGTTCAACTCTGTTAGTTGAGTACACACATCACAAACAAGTTTCACAGAATGCTTCTTTCTAGCTTGTAGGGGAAGATATTCCCTTTATCACCATGGTCCTCAAACCGTTCGAAACGTCCTCTTCCATATAGTACAAAAAGAGCGTTTCAAACCTGCTCTATGAAAGGCAATGTTCAACTCTGTGACTTGAATGCAGACATCACAGAGCAGTTTCTGAGAATGCTTCTGTCTAGATTTTATAGGAAGATATTCCCGTTTCCAACGAAATCTTCACAGCTATCCAAATATCCACTTGCAGATTCTACAAAAAGAGTGTATCAAAACTGCTCTGTCAAAAAGAGGGTTCTTCTCTGTTAGTTGAGTACATACGTCATAAAGGAGTTTCTGAGAATGTTTCTGTCTAGTGGTTATGGGAAGATATTTGCTTTTTCACCGTAGGCCTCAGAGCGCTCCAAATATCCCCTTGCACATACTACAAAAAGAGTGCTTCAAAGCTGCGCTCTGAAAGGGAATGTTCAACTCTGTGAGTTGAATGCAAACATCACAAAGACGTTTCTGAGAATGCTTCTGTCTAGATTTGATATGAAGATATTCCCGTTTCCAACGAAATCTTCAAATCTATCCAAATGTCCACTTGCAGATTCAACAAAAAGTGTTTTTCAGAACTGCTCTATCAAAGGAAAGATCCACCTCTGTTAGCTGAGTTCACACATCACAAACAAGTTTATGAGAATGCTTCTGTCTAGTTTTTATTTGAAGATATTTCCTTTCTCACCATAGACCTGAAAGCTGTCCTAATGTTCACTTCCAGTTACTACAGAAAGAGTATTTCAAAACTGCTGTACGAAAGGGAATGTTCAACTCTGTGACTTGAATGCACACATCACAAAGAAGTTTCTGAGGATGCTGCTGTCTACTTTTTATACGTAATCCTGTTTCCAACGAAATCCTCCAAGCTATCCAAATATCCACTTGCAGATTCCACAGAAAGACTGTTTCAAAACTGCTATGTCAATAGAAAAGTTCAACTCTGTTAGCTGTGTGCATATATCCCAAAGAAAATTCTGAGATTGCTTCTGTCTAGTTTTTATGGGAAGATATTTCCCTTTTCACCGTAGGCGTCAAGGCGCTCCAAATGTCCACTTCCAGATACTACAAAAAGAGTGTTTCAAACCTACTGTGTGAAAGGGAATATTCAACTCTGTGACTTGAAGGCAGATATCACAAAGAAGTTTCTGAGAATGCTTCTGTCGAGATTTTATATGAAGATATTCCCCTTTCCAACGAAATCCTGAAATCTATCCAAATATGCCCTCGCAGATTCTACAAAAAGAGTGTTTCAAAACTGCTCTGTAAAAAGAAAGGTTCAACTCTGTTAGTTGAGTACACACATCACAAACAAGTTTCACAGAATGCTTCTTTCTAGCTTGTAGGGGAAGATATTCCCTTTATCACCATGGGCCTCAAACCGTCTGAAACGTCCACTTCCATATACTACAAAAAGAGCATTTCAAACCTGCTCTATGAAAGGCAATGTTCAACTCTGTGACTTGAATGCAGACATCACAGAGCAGTTTCTGAGAATGCTTCTGTCTAGATTTTATAGGAAGATATTCCTGTTTCCAACGAAATCTTCACAGCTATCCAAATATCCACTTGCAGATTCTACAAAAAGAGTGTATCAAAACTGCTCTGTCAAAAGGAAGGTTCTTCTATGTTAGGTGAGTGCATACGTCATAAAGGAGTTTCTGAGAATGTTTCTGTCTAGTGGTTATGGGAAGATATTTGCTTTTTCACCGTAGGCCTCAGAGCGCTCCAAATATCCACTTGCACATACTACAAAAAGTGTGCCTCAAAGCTGCTCTCTGAAACGGAATGTTCAACTCTATGAGTTGAATGCAAACATCCCAAAGACGTTTCTGAGAATGCTTCTGTCAAAATTTGATATGAAGATATTCCAGTTTCCAACGAAATCTTCAAATCTATCCAAATGTCCACTTGCAGATTCAACAAAAAGTGTTTTTCAGAACTGCTCTATCAAAAGAAAGATCCACCTCTGTTAGCTGAGTTCACACATCACAAACAAGTTTATGAGAATGCTTTTGTCTAGTTTTTATTTGAAGATATTTCCTTTCTCACCATAGACCTGAAAGCTGTCCTAATGTTCACTTCCAGTTACTACAGAAAGAGTGTTTGAAAACTGCTGTACGAAAGGGAATGTTCAACTCTGTGACTTGAATGCACACATCACAAAGAAGTTTCTGAGGATGCTGCTGTCTACTTTTTATACGTAATCCCGTTTCCAACGAAATCCTCCAAGCTATCCAAATATCCACTTGCAGATTCCACAGAAAGACTGTTTCAAAACTGCTCTGTCAATAAGAAAGGTTCAACTCTGTTAGCTGCGTGCATATATCCCAAAGAAGATTCTGAGATTGCTTCTGTCTAGTTTTTATGGGAAGATATTTCCCTTTTCACCGTAGGTGTCAAGGCGCTCCAAATGTCCACTTCCAGATACTACAAAAAGAGTGTTTCAAACCTACTCTGTGAAAGGGAATATTCAACTCTGTGACTTGAATGCAGATATCACAAAGAAGTTTCTGAGAATGCTTCTGTCGAGATTTTATATGAAGATATTCCCGTTTCCAACGAAATCCTGAAATCTATCCAAATATCCCCTCGCAGATTCTACAAAAAGAGTGTTTCAAAACTGCTCTGTAAAAAGAAAGGTTCAACCTTCTTAGTTGAGTACACACATCACAAACAAGTTTCACAGAATGCTTCTTTCTAGCTTGTAGGGGAAGATATTCCCTTTATCACCATGGGCCTCCAACCGTCCGAAACATCCACTTCCATATACTACAAAAAGAGCGTTTCAAACCTGCTCTATGAAAAGCAATGTTCAACTCTGTGACTTGAATGCAGACATCACAGAGCAGTTTCTGAGAATGCTTCTGTCTAGCATTTTATAGGAAGATATTCCCGTTTCCAACGAAATCTTCACAGGTATCAAAATATCCACTTGCAGATTCTACAAAAAGAGTGTATCAAAACTGCTCTGTCAAAAGGAAGGTTCTTCTCTGTTAGGTGAGTGCATACGTCATAAAGGAGTTTCTGAGAATGTTTCTGTCTAGTGGTTATGGGAAGATATTTGCTTTTTCACCGTAGGCCTCAGAGCACTCCAAATATCCACTTGCACATACTACAAAAAGAGTGCCTCAAAGCTGCTCTCTGAAATGGAATGTTCAACTCTATGAGTTGAATGCAAACATCACAAAGACGTTTCTGAGAATGCTTCTGTCTAGATTTGATATGAAGATATTCCCGTTTCCAACGAAATCTTCAAAACTATCCAAATGTCCACTTGCAGATTCAACAAAAAGTGTTTTTCAGAACTGCTCTATCAAAAGAAAGATCCACCGTTGTTAGCTGAGTTCACACATCACAAACAAGTTTATGAGAATGCTTCTGTCTAGTTTTTATTTGAAGATATTTCCTTTCTTACCATAGACCTGAAAGCTGTCCTAATGTTCACTTCCAGATACTACAGAAAGAGTGTTTCAAAACTGCTGTACGAAAGGGAATGTTCAACTCTGTGACTTGAATGCACACATCACAAAGAAGTTTCTGAGGATGCTGCTGTCTACTTTTTATACGTAATCCCGTTTCCAAAAAAATCCTCCAAGCTATCCAAATATCCACTTGCAGATTCCACAGAAAGACTGTTTCAAAACTGCTCTGTCAATAGAAAGGTTCAACTCTGTTAGCTGCGTGCATATATCCCAAAGAAGATTCTGAGATTGCTTCTGTCTAGTTTTTATGGGAAGATATTTCCCTTTTCACCCTAGGCGTCAAGGCGCTCCAAATGTCCACTTCCAGATACTACAAAAAGAGTGTTTCAAACCTACTCTGTGAAAGGGAATATTCAACTCTGTGACTTGAATGCACATATCACAAAGAAGTTTCTGAGAATGCTTCTGTCGAGATTTTATATGAAGATATTCCCGTTTCCAACGAAATCCTGAAATCTATTCAAATATCCCCTCGCAGATTCTTCAAAAAGAGTGTTTCAATACTGCTCTGTAAAAAGAAAGGTTCAACTCTGTTAGTTGAGTACACACATCACAAACAAGTTTCACAGAATGCTTCTTTCTAGCTTGTAGGGGAAGATATTCCCTTTATCACCATGGGCCTCAAACTGTCCGAAACGTCCACTTCCATATACTACAAAAAGAGCGTTTCAAACCTTCTCTATGAAAGGCAATGTTCAGCTCTGTGACTTGAATGCAGACATCACAGAGCAGTTTCTGAGAATGCTTCTGTCTAGATTTTATAGGAAGATATTCCCGTTTCCAACAAAATCTTCACAGCTATCCAAATATCCACTTGCAGATTCTACAAAAAGAGTGTATCAAAACTGCTCTGTCAAAAGGAAGGTTCTTCTCTGTTAGGTGAGTGCATACGTCATAAAGGAGTTTCTGAGAATGTTTCTGTCTAGTGGTTATGGGAAGATATTTGCTTTTTCACCGTAGGCCTCAGGAGCGCTCCAAATATCCACTTGCACATACTACAAAAAGAGTGCCTCAAGGCTGCTCTCTGAAACGGAATGTTCAACTCTATGAGTTGAATGCAAACATCGCAAAGACGTTTCTGAGAATGCTTCTGTCTAGATTTGATATGAAGATATTCCCGTTTCCAACGAAATCTTCAAATCTATCCAAATGTCCACTTGCAGATTCAACAAAAAGTGTTTTTCAGAACTGCTCTATCAAAAGAAAGATCCAACTCTGTTAGCTGAGTTCACACATCACAAACAAGTTTATGAGAATGCTTCTGTCTAGTTTTTATTTGAAGATATTTCCTTTCTCAATATAGACGTGAAAGCTGTCCTAATATTCACTTCCAGATACTACAGAAAGAGTGTTTCAAAACTGCTGTACGAAAGGGAATGTTCAACTCTGTGACTTGAATGCACACATCACAAAGAAGTTTCTGAGGATGCTGCTGTCTACTTTTTATACGTAATCCCGTTTCCAACGAAATCCTCCAAGCTATCCAAATATCCACTTGCAGATTCCACAGAAAGACTGTTTCAAAACTGGTCTGTCAATAGAAAGGTTCAACTCTGTTAGCTGCGTGCATATATCCCAAAGAAGATTCTGAGATTGCTTCTGTCTAGTTTTTATGGGAAGATATTTCCCTTTTCACCATAGGTGTCAAGGCGCTCCAAATGTCCACTTCCAGATACTACAAAAAGAGTGTTTCAATCCTACTCTGTGAAAGGGAATATTCAACTCTGTGACTTGAATGGAGATATCACAAAGAAGTTTCTGAGAATGCTTCTGTCGAGATTTTATATGAAGATATTCCCGTTTCCAACGAAATCCTGAAATCTATCCAAATATCCGCTCGCAGATTCTACAAAAAGAGTGTTTCAAAACTGTTCTGTGAAAAGAAAGGTTCAACTCTGTTAGTTGAGTACACACATCACAAACAAGTTTCACAGAATGCTTCTTTCTAGCTTGTAGGGGAAGATATTCCCTTTATCACCATGGGCCTCCAACCGTCAGAAACATCCACTTCCATATACTACAAAAAGAGCGTTTCAAACCTGCTCTATGAAAGGCAATGTTCAACTCTGTGACTTGAATGCAGACATCACAGAGCAGTTTCTGAGAATGCTTCTGTCTAGAATTTATAGGAAGATATTCCCGTTTCCAACGAAATCTTCACAGCTATCCAAATATCCACTTGCATATTCTACAAAAAGAGTGTATCAAAACTGCTCTGTCAAAAGGAAGGTTCTTCTCTGTTAGGTGAGTGCATACGTCATAAAGGAGTTTCTGAGAATGTTTCTGTCTAGTGGTTATGGGAAGATATTTGCTTTTTCACCATAGGCCTCAGAGCGCTCCAAATATCCACTTGCACATACAACAAAAAGAGTGCTTCAAAGCTGCTCTCTGAAAGGGAATGTTCAACTCTATGAGTTGAATGCTAACATCACAAAGACGTTTCTGAGAATGCTTCTGTCTAGATTTGATATGAAGATATTCCCGTTTCCAACGAAATCTTGAAATCTATCCAAATGTCCACTTGCAGATTCAACAAAAAGTGTTTTTCAGAACTGCTCTATCAAAAGAAAGATCCACCTCTGTTAACTGAGTTCACACATCACAAACAAGTTTATGAGAATGCTTCTGTCTAGTTTTTATTTGAAGATATTTCCTTTCTCACCGTAGAGCTGAAAGCTGTCCTAATGTTCACTTCCAGATACTACAGAAAGAGTGTTTCAAAACTGCTGTACGAAAGGGAATGTTCAACTCTGTGACTTGAATGCACACATCACAAAGAAGTTTCTGAGGATGCTGCTGTCTACTTTTTATACGTAATCCCGTTTCCAACGAAATCCTCCAATCTATCCAAATATCCACTTGCAGATTCCACAGAAAGACTGTTTCAAATCTGCTCAGTCAATAGAAAGGTTCAACTCTGTTAGCTGCGTGCATATATCACAAAGAAGATTCTGAGATTGCTTCTGTCTAGTTTTTATGGGAAGATATTTCCCTTTTCACCGTAGGCGTCAAGGCGCTCCAAATGTCCACTTCCAGATACTACAAAAAGAGTGTTTCAAACATACTCTGTGAAAGGGAATATTCAACTCTGTGACTTGAATGCACATACCACAAAGAAGTTTCTGAGAATGCTTCTGTCGAGATTTTATATGAAGATATTCCCGTTTCCAACGAAATCCTGAAATGTATCCAAATATCCCCTCGCAGATTCTACAAAAAGAGTGTTTCAAAACTGCTCCTGTAAAAAGAAAGGTTCAACTCTGTTAGTTGAGTACACACATCACAAACAAGTTTCACAGAATGCTTCTTTCTAGCTTGTAGGGGAAGATATTCCCTTTATCACCATGGGCCTCAAACCGTCCGAAACGTTTACTTCCATATACTACAAAAAGAGCGTTTCAAACCTGCTCTATGAAAGGCAATGTTCAACTCTGTGACTTGAATGCAGACATCACAGAGCAGTTTTGAGAATGCTTCTGTCTAGATTTTATAGGAAGATATTTCCGTTTCCAAAGAAACCTTCACAGCTATCCAAATATCCACTTGCAGATTCTACAAAAAGAGTGTATCAAAACTGCTCTGTCAAAAGGAAGGTTCTTCTCTGTTAGGTGAGTGCATACGTCATAAAGGAGTTTCTGAGAATGTTTCTGTCTAGTGGTTATGGGAAGATATTTGCTTTTTCACCGTAGGCCTCAGAGCGCTCCAAATATCCCCTTGCACATACTACAAAAAGAGTGCTTCAAAGCTGCTCTCTGAAAGGGAATGTTCAACTCTATGAGTTGAATGCAAACATCACAAAGACGTTTCTGAGAATGCTTCTGTCTAGATTTGATATGAAGATATTCCCGGTTCCAACGAAATCTTCAAATCTATCCAAATGTCCACTTGCAGATTCAACAAAAAGTGTTTTTCAAAACTGCTGTATCAAAAGAAAGATCCACGTCTGTTAGCTGAGTTCACACATCACAAACAAGTTTATGAGAATGCTTCTGTCTAGTTTTTATTTGAAGATATTTCCTTTCTCACCATAGACCTGAAAGCTTTCCTAATGTTCACTTCCAGATACTACAGAAAGAGTGTTTCAAAACTGCTGTACGAAAGGGAATGTTCAACTCTGTGACTTGAATGCACACATCACAAAGAAGTTTCTGAGGATGCTGCTTTCTACTTTTTATACGTAATCCCGTTTCTAACGAAATCCTCCAAGCTATCCAAATATCCACTTGCAGATTCCACAGAAAGACTGTTTCAAAACTGCTCTGTCAATAGAAAGGTTCAACTCTGTTAGCTGCGTGCATATATCCCAAAGAAGATTCTGAGATTGCTTCTGTCTAGTTTTTATGGGAAGATATTTCCCTTTTCACCATAGGTGTCAACGCGCTCCAAATGTCCACTTCCAGATACTACAAAAAGAGTGTTTCAAACCTACTCTGTGAAAGGGAATATTCAACTCTGTGACTTGAATGCACATATCACAAAGAAGTTTCTGAGAATGCTTCTGTCGAGATTTTATATGAAGATATTCCCTTTTCCAACGAAATCCTGAAATCTATCCAAATATCCCCTCGCAGATTCTACAAAAAGAGTGTTTCAAAACTGCTCTGTAAAAAGAAAGGTTCAACTCTGTTAGTTGAGTACACACATCACAAACAAGTTTCACAGAATGCTTCTTTCTAGCTTGTAGGGGAAGATATTCCCTTTATCACCATGGGCCTCAAACCGTCCGAAACGTCCACTTCCATATACTACAAAAAGAGTGTTTCAAACCTGCTCTATGAAAGGCAACGTTCAACTCTGTGACTTGAATGCAGACATCACAGAGCAGTTTCTGAGAATGCTTCTGTCTAGATTTTATAGGAAGATATTCCCGTTTCCAACGAAATCTTCACAGCTATCCAAATATCCACTTGCAGATTCTACAAAAAGAGTGTATCAAAACTGCTCTGTCAAAAGGCAGGTTCTTCTCTGTTAGGTGAGTGCATACGTCATAAAGGAGTTTCTGAGAATGTTTCTGTCTGGTGGTTATGGGAAGATATTTGCTTTTTCCCCGTACGCCTCAAAGCGCTCCAAATGTCCACTTGCACATACTACAAAAAGAGTGCTTCAAAGCTGCTCTCTGAAAGGGAATGTTCAACTCTATGAGTTGAATGCAAACATCACAACGACGTTTCTGAGAATGCTTCTGTCTAGATTTGATATGAAGATATTCCCGTTTCCAACGAAATCTTCAAATCTATCCAAATGTCCTCTTGCAGATTCAACAAAAAGTGTTTTTCAGAACTGCTCTATCAAAAGAAAGATCCACGTGTGTTAGCTGAGTTCACACATCACAAACAAGTTTATGAGAATGCTTCTGTCTAGTTTTTATTTGAAGATATTTCCTTTCTCACCATACACCTGAAAGCTGTCCTAATGTTCACTTCCAGATACTACAGAAAGAGTGTTTCAAAACTGCTGTACGAAAGGGAATGTTCAACTCTGTGACTTGAATGCACACATCACAAAGAAGTTTCTGAGGATGCTGCTGGCTACTTTTTATACGTAATCCCGTTTCCAACGAAATCCTCCAAGCTATCCAAATATCCACTTGCAGATTCCACAGAAAGACTGTTTCAAAACTGCTCTGTCAATAGAAAGGTTCAACTCTGTTAGCTGCGTGCATATATCCCAAAGAAGATTCTGAGATTGCTTCTGTCTAGTTTTTATGGGAAGATATTTCCCTTTTCACCGTAGTTGTCAAGGCGCTCCAAATGTCCACTTCCAGATACTACAAAAAGAGTGTTTCAAACCTACTCTGTGAAAGGGAATATTCAACTCTGTGACTTGAATGCACATATCACAAAGAAGTTTCTGAGAATGCTTCTGTCGAGAATTTTATATGAAGATATTCCCCTTTCCAACGAAATCCTGAAATCTATCCAAATATCCCCTCGCAGATTCTACAAAAAGAGTGTTTCAAAACTGCTCTGTAAAAAGAAAGGTTCAACTCTGTTAGTTGAGTACACACCTCACAAACAAGTTTCACAGAATGCTTCTT
This sequence comes from Homo sapiens, assembly GCF_000001405.40. Classification (NCBI taxonomy): domain Eukaryota; kingdom Metazoa; phylum Chordata; class Mammalia; order Primates; family Hominidae; genus Homo; species Homo sapiens. The sequence continues at coordinate 17,341,850 of NC_000013.11, read as the reverse complement.
TCTAGCTTGTAGGGGAAGATATTCCCTTTATCACCATGGTCCTCAAACCGTCCGAAACGTCCACTTCCATATACTACAAAAAGAGCGTTTCAAACCTGCTCTAGGAAAGGCAATGTTCAACTCTGTGACTTGAATGCAGACATCACAGAGTAGTTTCTGAGAATGCTTCTGTCTAGATTTTATAGGAAGATATTCCCGTTTCCAACGAAATATTCACAGCTATCCAAATATCCACTTGCAGATTCTACAAAAAGAGTGTATCAAAACTGCTCTGTCAAAAGGAAGGTTCTTCCTCTGTTAGGTGAGTGCATACGTCATAAAGGAGTTTACTGAGAATGTTTTCTGTCTAGTGGTTATGGGAAGATATTTGCTTTTTCACCGTAGGCCTCAGAGCGCTCCAAATATCCACTTGCACATACTACAAAAAGAGTGCTTCAAAGCTGGTCTCTGAAACGGAATGTTCAACTCTATGAGTTGAATGCAAACATCACAAAGACGTTTCTGAGAATGCTTCTGTCTAGATTTGATATGAAGATATTCCCGTTTCCAATGACATCTTCAAATCTATCCAAATGTCCACTTGCAGATTCAACAAAACGTGTTTTTCAGAACTGCTCTATCAAAAGAAAGATCCACCTCTGTTAGCTGAGTTCACACATCACAAACAAGTTTATGAGAATGCTTCTGTCTAGTTTTTATTTGAAGATATATCCTTTCTCACTATAGACCTGAAAGCTCTCATAAAGTTCACTTCCAGATACTACAGAAAGAGTGTTTCAAAAATGCTGTACGAAAGGGAATGTTCAACTCTGTGACTTGAATGCACACATCACAAGGAAGTTTCTGAGGATGCTGCTGTCTACTTTTTATACCGTAATCCCGTTTCCAACGAAATCCTCCAAGCTATCCAAATATCCACTTGCAGATTCCACAGAAAGACTGTTTCAAAACTGCTCTGTCAATAGAAAGGTTCAACTCTATTAGCTGCGTACATATATCCCAAAGAAGATTCTGAGATTGCTTCTGTCTAGTTTTTATGGGAAGATATTTCCCTTTTCACCGTAGGCGTCAAGGCGCTCCAAATATCCACTTCCAGATACTACAAAAAGAGTGTTTCAAACCTACTCTATGAAAGCGAATATTCAACTCTGTGACTTGAATACACATATCACAAAGAAGTTTCTGAGAATGCTTCTGTCGAGATTTTATATGAAGATATTCCCGTTTCCAACGAAATCCTGAAATCTATCCAAATATCCCCTCGCAGATTCTACAAAAAGAGTGTTTCAAAAGTGCTCTGTAAAAAGAAAGGTTCAACTCTGTTAGTTGAGTACACACATCACAAACAAGTTTCAGAGAATGCTTCTTTCTAGCTTGTAGGGGAAGATATTCCCTTTATCACCATGGGCCTCAAACCGTCCGAAAAGTCCACTTCCATATACTACAAAAAGAGCGTTTCAAACCTGCTCTATGAAAGGCAATGTTCAACTCTGTGACTTGAATGCAGACATCACAGAGCAGTTTCTGAGAATCCTTCTGTATAGATTTTATAGGAAGATATTCCCGTTTCCAACGAAATCTTCACAGCTATCCAAATATCCACTTGCAGATTCTACAAAAAGAGTGTATCAAAACTGCTCTGTCAAAAGGAAGGTTCTTCTCTGTTAGGTGAGTGCATACGTCATAAAGGAGTTTCTGAGAATGTTTCTGTCTAGTGGTTATGGGAAGATATTTGCTTTTTCACCGTAGGCCTCAGAGCGCTCCAAATATCCACTTGCACATACTACAAAAAGAGTGTTTCAAAGCTGCTCTCTGAAAGGGAATGTTCAACTCTATGAGTTGAATGCAAACATGACAAAGACGTTTCTGAGAATGCTTTCTGTCTAGATTTGATATGAAGATATTCCCGTTTCCAAAGAAATCTTCAAATCTATCCAAATGTCCACTTGCAGATTCAACAAAGTGTTTTTCAGAACTGCTCTATCAAAAGAAAGATCCACCTCTGTTAGCTGAGATCACACTTCACAAACAAGTTTATCAGAATGCTTCTGTCTAGCTTTTATTTGAAGATATATCCTTTCTCACTATAGACCTGAAAGCTCTCCTAAAGTTCACTTCCAGATACTACAGAAAGAGTGTTTCAAAACTGCTGTAGGAAAGGGAATGTTCAACTCTGTGACTTGAATGCACACATCACAAGGATGTTTCTGAGGATGCTGCTGTCTACTTTTTATACTTAATCCCGTTTCCAACGAAATCCTCCAAGCTATCCAAATATCCACTTGCAGATTCCACAGAAAGACTGTTTCAAAACTGCTCTGTCAATAGAAAGGTTCAACTCTGTTAGCTGCGTGCATATATCCCAAAGAAGATTTCTGAGATTGCTTTCTGTCTACTTTTTATGAGAAGATATTTCCCTTTTCACCGTAGGCATCAAGGCGCTCCAAAAGTCCACTTCCAGATACTACAAAAAGTGTGTTTCAAACCTACTCTGTGTAAGGGAATATTCAACTCTGTGACTTGAATGCACATATCACAACGAAGCTTCTGAGAATGCTTCTGTCGAGATTTTATATGAAGATATTCCCGTTTCCAACGAAATCCTGAAATCTATCCAAATATCCGCTCGCAGATTCTACAAAAAGAGTGTTTCAAAACTGCTCTGTGAAAAGAAAGGTTCAACTCTGTTAGTTGAGTACACACATCACAAACAAGTTTCACAGAATGCTTCTTTCTAGCTTGTAGGGGAAGATATTCCCTTTATCACCATGGGACTCCAACCGTCCGAAACATCCACTTCCATATACTACAAAAAGAGCGTTTCAAACCTGCTCTATGAAAGGCAATGTTGAACTCTGTGACTTGAATGCAGACATCACAGAGCAGTTTCTGAGAATGCTTCTGTCTAGATTTTATAGGAAGATATTCCCGTTTCCAACGAAATCTTCACAGCTATCCAAATATCCACTTTCAGATTCTACAAAAAGAGTGTATCAAAAGTGGTCTGTCAAAAGGAAGGTTCTTCTCTGTTAGGTGAGTGCATACGTCATAAAGGAGTTTCTGAGAATGTTTCTGTGTAGTGGTTATGGGAAGATATTTGCTTTTTCACCGTAGGCCTCAGAGCGCTCCAAATATCCACTTGCACATACTACAAAAAGAGTGCTTCAAAGCTGCTCTCTGAAACGGAATGTTCAACTCTATGAGTTGAATGCAAACATCACAAAGACGTTTCCAAGAATGCTTCTGTCTAGATTTGATATGAAGATATTCCCGTTTCCAAGGAAATCTTCAAATCTATCCAAATGTCCACTTGCAGATTCAACAAAAAGTGTTTTTCAAAACTGCTGTATCAAAAGAAAGATCCACGTCTGTTAGCTGAGTTCACACATCACAAACAAGTTTATGAGAATGCTTCTGTCTAGTTTTTATTTGAAGATATTTCCTTTCTCACCATAGGAGCTGAAAGCTGTCCTAATGTTCACTTCCAGATACTACAGAAAGAGTGTTTCAAAACTGCTGTACGAAAGGGAATGTTCAACTCTGTGACTTGAATGCACACATCACAAAGAAGTTTCTGAGGATGCTGCTGTCTACTTTTTATACATAATCCCGTTTCCAACGAAATCCTCCAAGCTATCCAAATATCCACTTGCAGATTCCACAGAAAGACTGTTTCAAAACTGCTCTGTCAAAAGAAAGGTTCAACTCTGTTAGCTACGTGCATATATCCCAAAGAAGATTCTGAGATAGCTTCTGTCTAGTTTTGATGGGAAGATATTTCCCTTTTCACCGTAGGTGTCAAGGCGCTCCAAATGTCCACTTCCAGATACTACAAAAAGAGTGTTTCAAACCTACTCTGTGAAAGGGAATATTCAACTCTGTGACTTGAATGCACATATCACAAGGAAGTTTCTGAGAATGCTTCTGTCGAGATTTTATATGAAGATATTCCCGTTTCCAACGAAATCTTCAAATCTATCCAAATGTCCACTTGCAGATTCAACAAAAAGTGTTTTTCAGAACTGCTCTATCAAAAGAAAGATCCACCTCTGTTAGCTGAGTTCACACATCACAAACAAGTTGATGAGAATGCTTCTTTCTAGCTTGTAGGGGAAGATATTCCCTTTATCACCATGGGCCTCAAACCGTCCGAAACGTCCACTTCCATATACTACACAAAGAGCGTTTCAAACCTGCTCTAGGAAAGGCAATGTTCAACTCTGTGACTTGAATGCAGACATCACAGAGCAGTTTCTGAGAATGCTTCTGTCTAGATTTTATAGGAAGATATTCCCGTTTCCAACGAAATCTTCACAGCTATCCAAATATCCACTTGCAGATTCTACAAAAAGAGTGTATCAAAACTGCTCTGTCAAAAGGAAGGTTCTTCTCCGTTAGTTGAGTACATACGTCATAAAGGAGTTTCTGAGAATGTTCCTGTCTAGGGGATATGGGAAGATATTTGCTTTTTCCCCGTAGACCTCAAAGCGCTCCAAATGTCCACTTGCACATACTACAAAAAGAGTGCTTCAAAGCTGCTCTCTGAAAGGGAATGTTCAACTGTATGAGCTGAATGCTACCATCACAAAGACGTTTCTGAGAATGCTTCTGTCTAGATTTGATATGAAGATATTCCCGTTTCCAAAGAAATCTTCAAATCTATCCAAATGTCCACTTGCAGATTCAACAAAAAGTGTTTTTCAGAACTGCTCTATCAAAAGAAAGATCCACGTGTGTTAGCTGCGTTCACACATCACAAACAAGTTTATGAGAATGCTTCTGTCTAGTTTTTATTTGAAGATATTTCCTTTCTCACCATAGACCTGAAAGCTGTCCTAATGTTCACTTCCAGTTACTACAGAAAGAGTGTTTCAAAACTGCTGTACGAAAGGGAATGTTCAACTCTGTGACTTGAATGCACACATCACAAAGAAGTTTCTGAGGATGCTGCTGTCTAATTTTTACACGTAATCCCGTTTCCAACGAAATCCTCCAAGCTATCCAAATATCCACTTGCAGATTCCACAGAAAGACTGTTTCAAAACTGCTCTGTCAATAGAAAGGTTCAACTCTGTTAGCTGCGTGCAAATATCCCAAAGAAGTTTCTGAGATTGCTTCTGTCTAGTTTTTATGGGAAGATATTTCCCTTTTCACCGTAGGCGTCAAGGCGCTCCAAATGACCACTTCCAGATACTACAAAAAGAGTGTTTCAAACCTACTCTGTGAAAGGGAATATTCAACTCTGTGACTTGAATGCACATATCACAAGGAAAGTTTCTGAGAATGCTTCTGTCGAGATTTTATATTAAGATATTCCGGTTTCCAACAAAATCCTGAAATCTATCCAAATATCCCCTCGCAGATTCTACAAAAAGAGTGTTTCAAAACTGCTCTGTAAAAAGAAAGGTTCAACTCTGTTAGTTGAGTACACACATCACAAACAATTTTCACAGAATGCTTCTTTCTAGCTTGTAGGGGAAGTATATTCCCTTTATCACCATGGGCCTCAAACCGTCCGAAACGTCCACTTCCATATACTACAAAAAGAGCGTTTCAAACCTGCTCTATGAAAGGCAATGTTCAGCTCTGTGACTTGAATGCAGACATCACAGAGCAGTTTCTGAGAATGCTTCTGTCCGGACTTTATAGGAAGATATTCCCGATTCCAACGAAATCTTCACAGCTATCCAAATATCCACTTGCAGATACTACAAAAAGAGTGTATCAAAAATGCTCTGTCAAGAGGACAGTTCTTCTCTGCTAGTTCAGTACATACGTCATAAAGAAGTTTCTGAGAATGTTTCAGTCTAGTGGTTATGGGAAGATATTTGCTTTTTCACCGTAGGCCTCAGAGCGCTCCAAATATCCACTTGCACATACTACAAAAAGAGTGTTTCAAAGCTGCTCTCTGAAAGGGAATGTTCAACTCTATGAGTTGAATGCAAACATGACAAAGACGTTTCTGAGAATGCTTCTGTCTAGATTTGATATGAAGATATTCCCGTTACCAACGAAATCTTCAAATCTATCCAAATGTCCACTTGCAGATTCAACAAAAAGTGTTTTTCAGAACTGCTCTATCAAAAGAAAGATCCACCTCTGTTAGCTGAGTTCACACATCACAAACAAGTTTATGAGAATGCTTCTGTCTAGTTTTTATTTGAAGATATTTCCTTTCTCACCATAGACCTGAAAACTGTCCTAATGTTCACTTGCAGATACTACAGAAAGAGTGTTTCACAACTGCTGTACGAAAGGGAATGTTCAACTCTGTGACTTGAATGCACACATCACAAAGAAGTTTCTGAGGATGCTGCTGTCTACTTTTTATACGTAATCCCGTTTCCAACGAAATCCTCCAGGCTATCCAAATATCCACTTGCAGATTCCACAGAAAGACTGTTTCAAAACTGCTCTGTCAATAGAAAGGTTCAACTCTGTTAGCTGCATGCATATATCCCAAAGAAGATTCTGAGATTGCTTCTGTCTAGTTTTTATGGGAAGATATTTCCCTTTTCACCGTAGGCGTCAAGGTGCTCCAAATGTCCACTTCCAGATATTACAAAAAGAGTGTTTCAAACCTACTCTGTGAAAGGGAATATTCAACTCTGTGACTTGAATGCACATATCACAAAGAAGTTTCTGAGAATGCTTCTGTCGAGATTTTATATGAAGATATTCCCGTTTCCAACGAAATCCTGAAATCTATCCAAATATCCCCTCGCAGATTCTACAAAAAGAGTGTTTCAAAACTGTTCTGTAAAAAGAAAGGTTCAACTCTGTTAGTTGAGTACACACATCACAAACAAGTATCACAGAATGCTTCTTTCTAGCTTGTAGGGGAAGATATTCCCTTTATCACCATGGTCCTCAAACCGTCCGAAACGTCCTCTTCCATATAGTACAAAAAGAGCGTTTCTAACCTGCTCTATGAAAGTCAATGTTCAACTCTGTGACTTGAATGCACACATCACAGAGCAGTTTCTGAGAATGCTTCTGTCTAGATTATATAGGAAGATATTCCCGTTTCCAACGAAATCTTCACAGCTATCCAAATATCCACTTGCAGATTCTACAAAAAGAGTGTATCAAAACTGCTCTGTCAAAAGGAAGGTTCTTCTCTGTTAGTTGAGATGACATACGTCATAAGAGGAGTTTCTGAGAATGTTTCTGTCTAGTGGTTATGGGAAGATATTTGCTCTTTCACCGTAGGCCTCAGAGCGCTCCAAATATCCACTTGCACATACTACAAAAAGAGTGCCTCAAAGCTGCTCTCTGAAACGGAGTGTTCAACTCTATGAGTTGAATGCAAACATCGCAAAGACGTTTCTGAGAATGCTTCTGTCTAGATTTGATATGAAGATATTCCCGTTTCCAACGAAATCTTCAAATCTATCCAAATGTCCACTTGCAGATTCAACAAAAAGTGTTTTTCAGAACTGCTCTATCAAAAGAAAGGTCCACCTCTGTTAGCTGAGTTCACACATCACAAACAAGTTTATGAGAATGCTTCCGTCTAGTTTTTATTTGAAGATATATCCTTTCTAACTATAGACCTGAAAGCTGTCCTAAAGTTCACTTCCAGATACTACAGAAAGAGTGTTTCAAAACTGCTGTACGAAAGGGAATGTTCAACTCTGTGACTTGAATGCACACATCACAAGGATGTTTACTGAGGATGCTGCTGTCTACTTTTTATACGTAATCCCGTTTCCAACGAAATCCTCCAAGCTATCCAAATATCCACTTGCAGATTCCACAGAAAGACTGTTTCAAAACTGCTCTGTCAATAGAATGGTTCAACTCTGTTAGCTGCGTGCATATATCCCAAAGAAGATTCTGAGATTGCTTCTGTCTAGTTTTGATGGGAAGATATTTCCCTTTTCACCGTAGGCGTCAAGGCGCTCCAAATGACCACTTCCAGATACTACAAAAAGAGAGTTTCAAACCTACTCTGTGAAAGGGAATATTCAACTCTGTGACTTGAATGCACATATCACAAGGAAGTTTCTGAGAATGCTTCTGTCGAGATTTTATATGAAGATATTCCCGTTTCCAACGAAATCCTGAAATCTATCCAAATATCCCCTCGCAGATTCTACAAAAAGAGTGTTTCAAAACTGCTCTGTAAAAAGAAAGGTCCAACTCTGTTAGTTGAGTACACACATCACAAACAAGTTTCACAGAATGCTTCTTTCTAGCTTGTAGGGGAAGATATTCCCTTTATCACCATGGGCCTCAAACCGTCCGAAACGTCTACTTCCATATACTACAAAAAGAGCGTTTCAAACCTACTCTATGAAAGGCAATGTTCAACTCTGTGACTTGAATGCAGACATCACAGAGCAGTTTCTGAGAATGCTTCTGTCTGGATTTTATAGGAAGATATTCCCGTTTCCAATGAAATCTTCACAGCTATCCAAATATCCACTTGCAGATTCTACAAAAAGAGTGTATCAAAACTGCTCTGTCAAAAGGAAGGTTCTTCTCTGTTAGTTGAGTACATACGTCATAAAGGAGTTTCTGAGAATGTTTCTGTCTAGTGGTTATGGGAAGATATTTGCTTTTTCACCTTAGGCCTCAGAGCGCTCCAAATATCCCCTTGCACATACTACAAAAAGAGTGCTTCAAAGCTGCTCTCTGAAAGGGAATGTTCAACTCTATGAGTTGAATGCAAACATCACAAAGACGTTTCTGAGAATGCCTATCTGTCTAGATTTGATATGAAGATATTCCCGTTTCCAAAGAAATCTTCAAATCTATCCAAATGTCCACTTGCAGATTCAACAAAAAGTGTTTTTCAGAACTGCTCTATCAAAAGAAAGATCCACCTCTGTTAGCTGAGTTAACACATCACAAACAAGTTTATGAGAATGCTTCTGTCTAGTTTTTATTTGAAGGTATTTCCTTTCTCACCCTAGACCTGAAAGCTGTCCTAATGTTCACTTCCAGATACTACAGAAAGAGTGTTTCAAAACTGCTGTACGAAAGGGAATGTTCAACTGCTGTGACTTGAATGCACACATCACAAAGAAGTTTCTGAGGATGCTGCTGTCTAATTTTTATACGTAATCCCGTTTCCAACGAAATCCTCCAAGCTATCCAAATATCCACTTACAGATTCCACAGAAAGACTGTTTCAAAACTGCTCTGTCAATAGAAAGGTTCAACTCTGTTAGCTGCGTGCATATATCCCAAAGAAGATTCTGAGATTGCTTCTGTCTAGTTTTTATGGGAAGATATTTCCCTTTTCACCGTAGGTGTCAAGGCGCTCCAAATGTCGACTTCCAGATACTACAAAAAGAGTGTTTCAAACCTACTCTGTGAAAGGGAATATTCAACTCTGTGACTTGAATGCACATATCACAAGGAAGTTTCTGAGAATGCTTCTTTCGAGATTTTATATGAAGATATTCCCGTTTCCAACGAAATCCTGAAATCTATCCAAATATCCCCTCGCAGATTCTACAAAAAGAGTGTTTCAAAACTGCTCTGTAAAAAGAAAGGTTCAAATCTATTAGTTGAGTACACACATCACAAACAAGTTTAACAGAATGCTTCTTTCTAGCTTGTAGGGGAAGATTCCCCTTTATCACCATGGTCCTCAAACCGTCCGAAAAGTCCACTTCCATATACTACAAAAAGAGCATTTCAAACCTGCTGTATGAAAGGCAATGTTCAACTCTGTGACTTGAATGCAGACATCACAGAGCAGTTTCTGAGAATGCTTCTGTCTAAATTTTATAGGAAGATATTCCCGTTTCCAACGAAATCTTCACAGCTATCCAAATATCCACTTGCAGATTCTACAAAAAGAGTGTATCAAAACTGCTCTGTCAAAAGGAAGGTTCTTTTCTGTTAGGTGAGTGCATACGTCATAAAGGAGTTTCTGAGAATGCTTCTGTCTAGTGGTTATGGGAAGATATTTGCTTTTTCACCGTAGGCCTCAGAGCGCTCCAAATATCCACTTGCACATACTACAAAAAGAGTGCCTCAAAGCTGCTCTCTGAAACGGAATGTTCAACTCTATGAGTTGAATGCAAACATCGCAAAGACGTTTCGGAGAATGCTTCTGTCTAGATTTGATATGAAGATATTCCCGTTTCCAACGAAATCTTCAAATCTATCCAAATGTCCACTTGCAGATTCAACAAAAAGTGTTTTTCAGAACTGCTCTATCAAAAGAAAGATCCATCTCTGTTAGCTGAGTTCACACATCGCAAACAAGTTTATGAGAATGCTTCTGTCTAGTTTTTATTTGAAGATATTTCCTTTCTCACCATAGAGCTGAAAGCTGTCCTAATGTTCACTTCCAGATACTACAGAAAGAGTGTTTCAAAACTGCTGTACGAAAGGGAATGTTCAACTCTGTGACTTGAATGCACACATCACAAAGAAGTTTCGGAGGATGCTGCTGTCTACTTTTTATGCGTAATCCCGTTTCCAACGAAATCCTCCAAGCTATCCAAATATCCACTTGCAGATTCCACAGAAAGACTGTTTCAAAACTGGTCTGTCAATAGAAAGGTTCAACTCTGTTAGCTGCGTGCATATATCCCAAAGAAGATTCTGAGATTGCTTCTGTCTAGTTTTTATGGGAAGATATTTCCCTTTTCACCGTAGGTGTCAAGGAGCTACAAATGTCCACTTCCAGATACTACAAAAAGAGTGTTTCAAACCTACTCTGTGAAAGGGAATATTCAACTCTGTGACTTGAGTGCACATATCACAAAGAAGTTTCAGAGAATGCTTCTGTCGAGATTTTCTATGAAGATATTCCCGTTTCCAACGAAATCCTGAAATCTATCCAAATATCCCCTCGCAGATTCTACAAAAAGAGTGTTTCAAAACTGCTCTGTAAAAAGAAAGGTTCAACTCTGTTAGTTGAGTACACACATCACAAACAAGTTTCACAGAATGCTTCTTTCTAGCTTGTAGGGAAAGATATTTCCCTTTAACACCATGGGCCTCAAACCGTCCGAAACGTCCACTTCCATATACTACAAAAAGAGCGTTTCAAACCTGCTCTAGGAAAAGCAATGTTCAACTCTGTGACTTGAATGCAGACATCACAGAGCAGTTTCTGAGAATGCTTCTGTCTAGATTTTATAGGAAGATATTCCCGTTTCCAACGAAATCTTCACAGCTATCCTAATATCCACTTGCAGATTCTACAAAAAGAGTGTATCCAAACTACTCTGTCAAAAGGAAGGTTCTTCTCTGTTAGGTGAGTGCATACGTCATAAAGGAGTTTCTGAGAATGTTTCTGTCTAGTGGTTATGGGAAGATATTTGCTTTTTCACCGTAGGCCTCACAGCGCTCCAAATATCCACTTGCACATACTACAAAAAGAGGTGCTTCAAAGCTGCTCTCTGAAAGGGAATGTTCAACTCTATGAGTTGAATGCAAACATCACAAAGACGTTTCTGAGAATGCTTCTGTCTACATTTGATATGAAGATATTCCCGTTTCCAACGAAATCTTCAAATCTATCCAAATGTCCACTTGCAGATTCAACAAAAAGTGTTTTTCAGAACTGCTCTATCAAAAGAAAGATCCACCTCTGTTAGCTGAGTTCACACATCACAAACAAGTTTATGAGAATGCTTCTGTCTTGTTTTTATTTGAAGATATTTCCTTTCTCACCATAGACCTGAAAGCTGTCCTAATGTTCACTTCCAGATACTACAGAAAGAGTGTTTCAAAACTGCTGTACGAAAGGGAATGTTCAACTCTGTGACTTGAATGCACACATCACAAAGAAGTTTCTGAGGATGCTGCTGTCTACTTTTTATACGTAATCCCGTTTCCAACGAAATCCTCCAAGCTATCCAAATATCCACTTGCAGATTCCACAGAAAGACTGTTTCAAAACTGCTCTGTCAATAGAAAGGTTCAACTCTATTAGCTGCGTACATATATCCCAAAGAAGATTCTGAGATTGCTTCTGTCTAGTTTTTATGGGAAGATATTTCCCTTTTCTCCGTAGGCGTCAAGGCGCTCCAAATGTCCACTTCCAGATACTACAAAAAGAGTGTTTCAAACCTACTCTGTGAAAGGGAATATTCAACTCTGTGACTTGAATGCACATATCACAAAGAAGTTTCTGAGAATGCTTCTGTCGAGATTTTATATGAAGATATTCCCGTTTCCAACGAAATCCTGAAATCTATCCAAATAACCCCTCGCAGATTCTACAAAAAGAGTGTTTCAAAACTGCTCTGTAAAAAGAAAGGTTCAACTCTGTAAGATGAGTACACACACCACAAACAAGTTTCACAGAATGCTTCTTTCTAGCTGGTAGGGGAAGATATTCCCTTTATCACCATGGGCCTCAAACCGTCCGAAACGTCCACTTCCATATACTACAAAAAGAGGGTTTCAAACCTGCTCTATGAAAGGCAATGTTCAACTCTGTGACTTGAATGCAGACATCACAGAGCAGTTTCTGAGAATGCTTCTGTCCAGACTTTATAGGAAGATATTCCCGTTTCCAACGAAATCTTCACAGCTATCCAAATATCCACTTGCAGATAGTACAACAAGAGTGTATCAAAAATGCTCTGTCAAAAGGAAAGTTCTTCTCTACTAGTTGAGTACATACGTCATAAAGAAGTTTCTGAGAATGTTTCTGTCTAGTGGTTATGGGAAGATATTTGCTTTTTCACCTTAGGCCTCAGAGCGCTCAAAATATCCCCTTGCACATACTACAAAAAGAGCGCTTCAAAGCTGCTCTCTGAAACGGAATCTTCAACTCTATGGGTTGAATGCAAACATCACAAACACGTTTCTGAGAATGCTTCTGTCTAGATTTGATATGAAGATATTCCCGTTTCCAACGAAATCTTCAAATCTATCCAAATGTCCACTTGCAGATTCAACAAAAAGTGTTTTTCAGAACTGCTCTATCAAAAGAAAGATCCACCTCGGTTAGCTGAGTTCACACATCACAAACAGGTTTATGAGAATGCTTCTATCTAGTTTTTATTTGAAGATATTGCCTTTCTCACCATAGACCTGAAAGCTGTCCTAATGTTCACTTCCAGATACTACAGAAAGAGTGTTTCAAAACTGCTGTACGAAAGGGAATGTTCAACTCTGTGACTTGAATGCACACATCACAAAGTAGTTTCTGAGGATGCTGCTGTCTACTTTTTATACGTAATGACGTTTCCAACGAAATCCTCCAAGCTATCCAAATATCCACTTGCAGATTCCACAGAAAGACTGTTTCAAAACTGCTCTGTCAATAGAAAGGTTCAACTCTGTTAGCTGCGTGCATATATCCCAAAGAAGATTCTGAGATTGCTTCTGTCTAGTTTTTATGGGAAGATATTTCCCTTTTCACCGTAGGTGTCAAGGCGCTCCAAATGTCCACTTCCAGATACTACAAAAAGAGTGTTTCAAACCTACCCTGTGAAAGGGAATATTCAACTCTGTGACTTGAATGCAGATATCACAATGAAGTCTCTGAGAATGCTTCTGTCGAGATTTTATATGAAGATATTCCCGTTTCCAACGAAATCCTGAAATCTATCCAAATATCCCCTCGCAGATTCTACAAAGGGTGTTTCAAAACTGCTCTGTAAAAAGAAAGGTTCAACCCTGTTAGTTGAGTACACACATCACAAACAAGTTTCACAGAATGCTTCTTTCTAGCTTGTAGGGGAAGATATTCCCTTTATCACCATGGGCCTCAAACCGTCCGAAACGTCCACTTCCACATACTACAAAAAGAGCGTATCATACCTGCTCTATGAAAGGCAATGTTGAACTCTGTGACTTGAATGCAGACATCACAGAGCAGTTTCTGAGAATGCTTCTGTCTAGATTTTATAGGAAGATATTCCCGTTTCCAACGAAATCTTCACAGCTATCCAAATATCCACTTGCAGATTCTACCAAAAGAGTGTATGAAAACTGCTCTGTCAAAAGAAAGGTTCTTCTCTGTTAGGTGAGTGCATACGTCATAAACGGAGTTTCTGAGAATGTTTCTGTCTAGTGGTTATGGGAAGATATTTGCTTTTTCACCGTAGGCCTCAGAGCGCTCCAAATATCCACTTGCACATACTACAAAAAGAGTGCCTCAAAGCTGCTCTCTGAAACGGAATGTTCAACTCTATGAGTTGAATGCAAACATCGGAAAGACGTTTCTGAGAATGCTTCTGTCTAGATTTGATATGAAGATATTCCCGTTTCCAACGAAATCTTCAAATCTATCCAAATGTCCACTTGCAGATTCAACAAAAAGTGTTTTTCAGAACTGCTGTATCAAAAGAAAGATCCACCTCTGTTAGCTGAGTTCACACATCACAAACAAGTTTATGAGAATGCTTCTGTCTAGTTTTTATTTGAAGATATTTCCTTTCTCACCATAGACCTGAAAGCTGTCCTAATGTTCACTTCCAGATACTACAGAAAGAGTGTTTCAAAACTGCTGTGGGAAAGGGAATGTTCAACTCTGTGACTTGAATGCACACATCACAAAGAAGTTTCTGAGGATGCTGCTGTCTACTTTTTATACTTAATCCCGTTTCCAACGAAATCCTCCAAGCTATCCAAATATCCACTTGCAGATTCCACAGAAAGACTGTTTCAAAACTACTCTGTCAATAGAAAGGTTCAACTCTGTTAGCTGCGTGCATATATCCCAAAGAAGATTCTGAGATTGCTTCTGTCTAGTTTTTATGGAAGATATTTCCCTTTTCACCGTAGGCGTCAAGGCGCTCCAAATGTCCACTTCCAGATACTACAAAAAGAGTGTTTCAAACCTACTCTGTGAAAGGGAATATTCAACTCTGTGACTTGAATGCAGATATCACAAAGAAGTTTCTGAGAATGCTTCTGTCGAGATTTTATATGAAGATATTCCCGTTTCCAACGAAATGCTGAAATGTATCCAAATATCCCCTCGCAGATTCTACAAAAAGAGTGTTTCAAAACTGCTCTGTAAAAAGAGAGGTTCAACTCTGTTAGTTGAGTACACACATCACAAACAAGTTTCACAGAATGCTTCTTTCTAGCTTGTAGGGGAAGATATTCCCTTTATCACCATGGGCCTCAAACCGTCCGATAAGTCCACTTCCATATACTACAAAAAGAGCGTTTCAAACCTGCTCTATGAAAGGCAATGTTCAACTCTGTGACTTGAATGCAGACATCCCAGAGCAGTTTCTGAGAATGCTTCTGTCTAGATTTTATAGGAAGATATTCCCGTTTCCAACGAAATCTTCACAGGTATCCAAATATCCACTTGCAGATTCTACAAAAAGAGTGTATCAAAACTGCTCTGTCAAAAGGAAGGTTCTTCTCTGTTAGGTGAGTGCATACGTCATAAAGGAGTTTCTGAGAATGTTTCTGTCTAGTGGTTATGGGAAGATATTTGCTTTTTCACCGTAGGCCTCAGAGCGCTCCAAATATCCACTTGCACATACTACAAAAAGAGTGCTTCAAACCTGCTCTCTGAAACGGAATGTTCAACTCTATGAGTTGAATGCAAACATCACAAAGACGTTTTCTGAGAATGCTTCTGTCTAGATTTGATATGAAGATATTCCCGTTTGGAACGAAATCTTCAAATCTATCCAAATGTCCACTTGCAGATTCAACAAAAAGTGTTTTTCAGAACTGCTCTATCAAAAGAAAGATCCACCTCTGTTAGCTGAGTTCACACATCACAAACAAGTTTATGAGAATGCTTCTGTCTAGTTTTTATTTGAAGGTATTTCCTTTCTCACCATCGACCTGAAAGCTGTCCTAATGTTCACTTCCAGATACTACAGAAAGAGTGTTTCAAAACTGCTGTACGAAAGGGAATGTTCAACTCTGTGACTTGAATGCACACATCACAAAGAAGTTTCTGAGGATGGTGCTGTCTACTTTTTATACGTAATCCCGTTTCCAACGAAATCCTCCAAGCTATCCAAATATCCACTTGCAAATTCCACAGAAAGACTGTTTCAAAACTGCTCTGTCAATAGAAAGGTTCAACTCTGTTAGCTGCGTGCATATATCCCAAAGAAGATTCTGAGATTGCTTCTGTCTAGTTTTTATGGGAAGATATTTCCCTTTTCACCGTAGGTGTCAAGGCGCTCCAAATGTCCACTTCCAGATACTACAAAAAGAGTGTTTCAAACCTACTCTGTGAAAGGGAATATTCAACTGCTGTGACTTAAAGGCAGATATCACAAAGAAGTTTCTGAGAATGCTTCTGTCGAGATTTTATATGAAGATATTCCCGTTTCCAACGAAATGCTGAAATGTATCCAAATATCCCCTCGCAGATTCTACAAAAAGAGTGTTTCAAAACTGCTCTGTAAAAAGAAAGGTTCAACTCTGTTAGTTGAGTACACACATCACAAACAAGTTTCACACAATGCTTCTTTTTAGCTTGTAGGGGAAGATATTCCCTTTATCACCATGGGCCTCAAACCGTCCGAAACGTCCACTTCCATATACTACAAAAAGAGCGTTTCAAACCTGCTCTATCAAAGGCAATGTTCAACTCTGTGACTTGAATGCAGACATCACAGAGCAGTTTCTGAGAATGCTTCTGTCTAGATTTTATAGGAAGATATTCCCGTTTCCAACGAAATCTTCACAGCTATCCAAATATCCACATGCAGATTCTACAAAAAGAGTGTATCAAAACTGCTCTGTCAAAAGGAAGGTTCTTCTCTGTTAGGTGAGTGCATACGTCATAAAGGAGTTTCTGAGAATGTTTCTGTCTAGTGGTTATGGGAAGATATTTGCTTTTTCCCCGTAGGCCTCAGGGCGCTCCAAATGTCCACTTGCACATGCTACAAAAAGAGTGCTTCAAAGCTGCTCTCTGAAAGGGAATGTTCAACTCTATGAGTTGAATGCAAACATCACAAAGACGTTTCTGAGAATGCTGTCTGTCTAGATTTGATATGAAGATATTCCCGTTTCCAACGAAATCTTCAAATCTATCCAAATGTCCACTTGCAGATTCAACAAAAAGTGTTTTTCAGAACTGCTCTATCAAAAGAAAGATCCACCTCTGTTAGCTGAGTTCACACATCACAAAAAAGTTTATGAGAATGCTTCTGTCTAGTTTTTATTTGAAGATATTTCCTTTCTCACCGTAGTGCTGAAAGCTGTCCTAATGTTCACTTCCAGATACTACAGAAAGAGTGTTTCAAAACTGCTGTACGAAAGGGAATGTTCAACTCTGTGACTTGAATGCACACATCACAAAGAAGTTTCTGAGAATGCTTCTGTCGAGATTTTATATGAAGATATTCCCGTTTCCAACGAAATCCTGAAATCTATCCAAATATCCCCTTGCAGATTCTACAGAAAGAGTGTTTCAAAACTGCTCTCTAAAAAGAAAGGTTCAACTCTGTTAGTTGAGTACAAACATCACAAACAAGTTTCACAGAATGCTTCTGTCTAGTTTTTATGGGAAGATATTTCCCTTTTCACCATAAGTGTCAAGGCGCTCCAAATGTCCACTTCCTGATACTACAAAAAGAGTGTTTCAAACCTACTCTGTGAAAGGGAATATTCAACTCTGTGACTTGAATACACATATCACAAAGAAGTTTCTGAGAATGCTTCTGTCGAGATTTTATATGAAGATATTCCCGTTTCCAACAAAATCCTGAAATCTATACAAATATCCCCTCGCAGATTCTACAAAAAGAGTGTTTCAAAACTGCTCTGTAAAAAGAAAGGTTCAACTCTGTTAGTTGAGTACACACATCACAAACAAGTTTCACAGAATGCTTCTTTCTAGCTTGTAGGGGAAGATATTCCCTTTATCACCATGGGCCTCAAACCGTCCGAAACGTCCACTTTTATATACTACAAAAAGAGCGTTTCAAACCTGCTCTATGAAAGGCAATGTTCAACTCTGTGACTTGAATGCAGACATCACAGAGCAGTTTCTGAGAATGCTTCTGTCTAGATTTTATAGGAAGATATTCCCGTTTCCAAAGAAATCTTCACAGCTATCCAAATATCCACTTGCAGATTCTACAAAAAGAGTGTATCAAAACTGCTCTGTCAAAAGGAAGGTTCTTCTCTGTTAGATGAGTGCATACGTCATAAAGGAGTTTCTGAGAATGTTTCTGTCTAGTGGTTATGGGAAGATATTTGCTTTTTCACCGTAGGCCTCAGAGCGCTCCAACTATCCACTTGCACATACTACAAAAAGAGTGCCTCAAAGCTGCTCTCTGAAATGGAATGTTCAACTCTATGAGTTGAATGCAAACATCACAAAGAAGTTTCTGAGAATGCTTCTGTCTAGATTTGATATGAAGATATTCCCGTTTCCAACGAAATCTTCAAATCTATCCAAATGTCCAATTGCAGATTCAACAAAAAGTGTTTTTCAGATCTGCTCTATCAAAAGAAAGATCCATCTCTGTTAGCTGAGTTCACACATCACAAACAAGTTTATGAGAATGCTTCTGTCTAATTTTTATTTGAAGATATTTCCTTTCTCACCATAGACCTGAAAGCTGTCCTAATGTTCACTTCCAGATACTATAGAAAGAGTGTTTCAAAACTGCTCTACGAAAGGGAATGTTCAACTCTGTGACTTGAATGCACACATCACAAAGAAGTTTCTGAGGATGCTGCTGTCTACTTTTTATACGTAAACCCGTTTCCAACGAAATCCTCCAAGCTATCCAAATATCCACTTGCAGATTCCACAGAAAGACTGTTACAAAACTGCTCTGTCAATAGAAAGGTTCAACTCTGTTAGCTGCGTGCATATATCCCAAAGAAGATTCTGAGATTGCTTCTGTCTAGTTTTTATGGGAAGATATTTCCCTTTTCACCGTGGGCGTCAAGGCGCTCCAAATGTCCACTTCCAGATACTACAAAAAGAGTGTTTCAAACCTACTCTGTGAAAGGGAATATTCAACTCTGTGACTTGAATGCACATATCACAAAGAAGTTTCTGAGAATGCTTCTGTCGAGATTTTATATGAAGATATTCCCGTTTCCAACGAAATGCTGAAATCTATCCAAATATCCCCTCGCAGATTCTACAAAAAGAGTGTTTCAAAACTGCTCTGTAAAAAGAAAGGTTCAACTCTGTTAGTTGAGTACACACATCACAAACAAGTTTCACACAATGGTTCTTTCTAGCTTGTAGGGGAAGATATTCCCTTTATCACCATGGGCCTCAAACCGTCCGAAACGTCCAACTTCCATATACTAGAAAAAGAGCGTTTCAAACCTGCTCTATGAAAGGCAATGTTCAACTCTGTGACTTGAATGCAGACATCACAGAGCAGTTTCTGAGAATGCTTCTGTCTAGATTTTATATTCCCGTTTCCAACAAAATCTTCACAGCTATCCAAATATCCACTTGCAGATTCTACAAAAAGAGTGTATCAAAACTGCTCTGTCAAAAGGAAGGTTCTTCTCTGTTAGTTGAGTACATACGTCATAAAGGAGTTTCTGAGAATGTTTCTGTCTAGTGGTTATGGGAAGATATTTGATTTTTCACCGTAGGCCTCAGAGCGCTCCAAATATCCACTTGCACATACTACAAAAAGAGTGCTTCAAAGCTGCTCTCTGAAAGGGAATGTTCAACTCTATGAGTTGAATGCAAACATCACAAAGACGTTTCTGAGAATTCTTCTGTCTAGATTTGATATGAAGATATTCCCGTTTCCAAGGAAATCTTCAAATCTATCCAAATGTACACTTGCAGATTCAACAAAAAGTGTTTTTCAGAACTGCTCTATCAAAAGAAAGATCCACCTCTGTTAGCTGAGTTCACACATCACAAACAAGTTTATGAGAATGCTTCTGTCTAGTTTTTATTTGAAGATATATCCTTTCTCACTATAGACCTGAAAGCTCTCCTAAAGTTCACTTCCAGATACTACAGAAAGAGTGTTTCAAAACTGCTGTACGAAAGGAAATGTTCAACTCTGTGACTTGAATGCACACATCACAAGGATGTTTCTGAGGATGCTGCTGTCTACTTTTTATACGTAATCCCGTTTCCAACGAAATCCTCCAGGCTATCCAAATATCCACTTGCAGATTCCACAGAAAGACTGTTTGAAATCTGCTCTGTCAATAGAAAAGTTCAACTCTATTAGCTGCGTGCATATATCCCAAAGAAGATTCTGAGATTGCTTCTGTCTAGTTTTTATGAGAAGATATTTCCCTTTTCACCGTAGGCGTCAAGGCGCTCCAAATGTCCACTTCCAGATACTACAAAAAGAGTGTTTTAAACCTACTCTGTGAAAGGGAATATTCAACTCTGTGACTTGAATGCACATATCACAAAGAAGTTTCTGAGAATGCTTCTGTCGAGATTTTATATGAAGATATTCCCGTTTCCAATGAAATCCTGAAATCTATCCAAATATCCCCTCGCAGATTCTACAAAAAGAGTGTTTCAAAACTGCTCTGTAAAAAGAAAGGTTCAACCCTGTTAGTTGAGTACACACATCACAAACAAGTTTCACAGAATGCTTCTTTCTAGCTTGTAGGGGAAGATATTCCCATTATCACCATGGGCCTCAAACCGTCCGAAACGTCCACTTCCATATACTACAAAAAGAGTGTTTCAAACCTGCTCTATGAAAGGCAATGTTCAACTCTGTGACTTGAATGCAGACATCACAGAGCACTTTCTGAGAATGCTTCTGTCTAGATTTTATAGGAAGATATTCCCGTTTCCAACGAAATCTTCACAGCTATCCAAATATCCACTTGCAGATTCTACAAAAAGAGTGTATCAAAACGGCTCTGTCAAAAGGAAGGTTCTTCTCTGTTAGTTGAGTACATACGTCATAAAGGAGTTTATGAGAATGTTTCTGTTTAGTGGTTATGGGAAGATATTTGCATTTTCACCTTAGGCCTCAGAGCGCTCCAAATATCCCCTTGCACATACTACAAAAAGAGTGCTTCAAAGCTGCTCTCTGAAACGGAATGTTCAACTCTATGAGTTGAATGCAAACATGACAAAGACGTTTCCGAGAATGCTTCTGTCTAGATTTGATATGAAGATATTCCCGTTTCCAACGAAATCTTCAAATCTATCCAAATGTCCACTTGCAGATTCAACAAAAAGTGTTTTTCAGTACTTCTCTATCAAAAGAAAGATCCACCTCTGTTAGCTGAGTTCACACATCACAAAAAGTTTATGAGAATGCTTCTGTCTCGTTTTTATTTAAAGATATTTCCTTTCTCACCATAGAGCTGAAAGCTGTCCTAATGTTCACTTCCAGATACTACAGAAAGAGTGTTTCAAAACTGCTGTACGAAAGGGAATGTTCAACTCTGTGACTTGAATGCACACATCACAAAGAAGTTTCTGAGGATGCTGCTGTCTACTTTTTATACTTAATCCCGTTTCCAACGAAATCCTCCAAGCTATCCAAATATCCACTTCCAGATTCCACAGAAAGACTGTTTCAAAACTGCTCTGTCAATAGAAAGGTTCAACTCTGTTAGCTGCGTGCATATATCCCAAAGAAGATTCTGAGATTGCTTCTGTCTAGTTTTTATGGGAAGATATTTCCCTTTTCACCGTAGGCGTCAAGGCGCTCAAAATGTCCACTTCCAGATACTACAAAAAGAGTGTTTCAAACCTACTCTGTGAAAGGGAGTATTCAACTCTGTGACTTGAATACACATATTCCAAAGAAGTTTCTGAGAATGCTTCTGTCGAGATTTTATATGAAGATATTCCCGTTTCCAACGAAATCCTGAAATCTATCCAAATATCCCCTCGCAGATTCTACAAAAAGAGTGTTTCAAAACTGCTCTGTAAAAAGAAAGGTTCAACTCTGTTAGTTGAGTACACACATCACAAGTTTCACAGAATGCTTCTTTCTAGCTTGTAGGGGAATGATATTCCCCTTATCACCATGGGCCTCAAACCGTCCGAAACGTCCACTTCCATATACTACAAAAAGAGCGTTTCAAACCTGCTCTATGAAAGGCAATGTTCAACTCTGTGACTTGAATGCAGACATCACAGAGCAGTTTCTGAGAATGCTTCTGTCTAGATTTTATAGGAAGATATTCCCGTTTCCAACAAAATCTTCACAGCTATCGAAATATCCACTTGCAGATTCTACAAAAAGAGTGTATCAAAACTGCTCTGTCAAAAGGAAGGTTCTTCTCTGTTAGGTGAGTGCATACGTCATAAAGGAGTTTCTGAGAATGTTTCTGTCTAGTGGTTATGGGAAGATATTTGCTTTTTCACCGTAGGCCTCAGAGCGCTCCAAATATCCACTTGCACATACTACAAAAAGAGTGTTTCAAAGCTGCTCTCTGAAAGGGAATGTTCAACTCTATGAGTTGAATGCAAACATGACAAAGACGTTTCTGAGAATGCTTCTGTCTAGATTTGATATGACGATATTCCCGTTTCCAAAGAAATCTTCAAATCTATCCAAATGTCCACTTGCAGATTCAACAAAACGTGTTTTTCAGAACTGCTCTATCAAAAGAAAGATCCACCTCTGTTAGCTGAGTTCACACATCACAAACAAGTTTATGAGAATGCTTCTGTCTAGTTTTTATTTGAAGATATTTCCTTTCTCACCAGAGACCTGAAAGCTGTCCTAATGTTCACTTCCAGATACTACAGAAAGAGTGTTTCAAAACTGCTGTACGAAAGGGAATGTTCAACTCTGTGACTTGAATGCACACATCACAAAGAAGTTTCTGAGGATGCTGCTGTCTACTTTTTATACGTAATCCCGTTTCCAACGAAATCCTCCAAGCTATCCAAATATCCACTTGCAGATTCCACAGAAAGACTGTATCAAAACTGCTCTGTCAATAGAAAGGTTCAACTCTGTTAGCTGCGTGCATATATCCCAAAGAAGATTCTGAGATTGCTTCTGTCTAGTTTTTATGGGAAGATATTTCCCTTTTCACCGTAGGTGTCAAGGCGCTCCAAATGTCCACTTCCAGATACTACAAAAAGAGTGTTTCAAACCTACTCTGTGAAACGGAATATTCAACTCTGTGACTTGAATGCAGATATCACAAAGAAGTTTCTGAGAATGCTTCTGTCGAGATTTTATATGAAGATATTCCCGGTTCCAACGAAATCCTGAAATCTCTCCAAATATCCCCTCGCAGATTCTACAAAAAGAGTGTTTCAAAACTGCTCTGTAAAAAGAAAGGTTCAACTCTGTTAGTTGAGTACACACATCACAAACAAGTTTCACAGAATGCTTCTTTCTAGCTTGTAGGGGAAGATATTCCCTTTATCACCATGGGCCTCCAACCGTCCGAAACATCCACTTACATATACTACAAAAAGAGCGTTTCAAACCTGCTCTATGAAAGGCAATGTTCAACTCTGTGACTTGAATACAGACATCACAGAGCAGTTTCTGAGAATGCTTCTGTCTAGATTTTATAGGAAGATATTCCCGTTTCCAACGAAATCTTCACAGCTATCCAAATATCCACTTGCAGACTCTACAAAAAGAGTGTATCAAAACTGCTCTGTCAAAAGGAAGGTTCTTCTCTGTTAGGTGAGTGCATACGTCATAAAGGAGTTTCTGAGAATGTTTCTGTCTAGTGGTTATGGGAAGATATTTGCTTTTTCACCGTAGGCCTCAGAGCGCTCCAAATATCCACTTGCACATACTACAAAAAGAGTGCCTCAAAGCTGCTCTCTGAATCGGAATGTTCAACTCTATGAGTTGAATGCAAACATCACAACGACGTTTCTGAGAATGCTTCTGTCTAGATTTGATATGAAGATATTCCCGTTTCCAACGAAATCTTCAAATCTATCCAAATGTCCACTTGCAGATTCAACAAAAAGTGTTTTTCAAAACTGCTGTATCAAAAGAACGATCCACGTCTGTTAGCTGAGTTCAGACATCACAAACAAGTTTATGAGAATGCTTCTGTCTAGTTTTTATTTGAAGATATTTCCTTTCTCACCATAGAGCTGAAAGCTGTCCTAATGTTCACTTCCAGATACTACAGAAAGAGTGTTTCAAAACTGCTGTACGAAAGGGAATGTTCAACTCTGTGACTTGAATGCACACATCACAAAGAATTTTCTGAGGATGCTCTGTCTACTTTTTATACGTAATCCCGTTTCCAACGAAATCCTCCAAGCTATCCAAATATCCACTTGCAGATTCCACAGAAAGACTGTTTCAAAACTGCTCTGTCAATAGAAAGGTTCAACTCTGTTAGCTGCGTGCATATATCCCAAAGAAGATTCTGAGATTGCTTTCTGTCTAGTTTTTATTGGAAGATATTTCCCTTTTCACTGTAGGCGTCAAGGCGCTCCAAATGTCCACTTCCAGATACTACAAAAAGAGTGTTTCAAACCTACTCTGTGAAAGGGAATATTCAACTCTGTGACTTGAATGCAGATATCACAAAGAAGTTTCTGAGAATGCTTCTGTCGAGATTTTATATGAAGATATTCCCGTTTCCAACGAAATCCTGAAATCTATCCAAATATCCCCTCGCAGATTCTACAAAAAGAGTGTTTCAAAAGTGCTCTGTAAAAAGAAAGGTTCAACTCTGTTAGTTGAGTACACACATCACAAACAAGTTTCACAGAATGCTTCTTTCTAGCTTCTAGGGGAAGATATTTCCTTTATCACCATGGGCCTCAAACCGTCCGAAACGTCCACTTCCATATACTAAAAAAAGAGTGCTTGAAACCTGCTCTATGAAAGGCAATGTTCAACTCTGTGACATGAAAGCAAACATCACAGAGCAGTTTCTGAGAATGCTTCTGTCCGGACTTTATAGGAAGATATTCCCGATTCCAACGAAATCTTCACAGCTATCCAAATATCCACTTGCAGATACTACAAAAAGAGTGTATCAAAAATGCTCTGTCAAGAGGACAGTTCTTCTCTGCTAGTTGAGTACATACGTCATAAAGAAGTTTCTGAGAATGTTTCTGTCTAGTGGTTATGGGAAGATATTTGCTTTTTCCCCGTAGGCCTCAGAGCGCTCCAAATGTCCACTTGCACATGCTACAAAAAGAGTGCTTCAAAGCTGCTCTCTGAAAGGGAATGTTCAACTCTATGAGTTGAATGTAAACATCACAAAGACGTTTCTGAGAATGCGTCTGTCTAGATTTGATATGAAGATATTCCCGTTTCCAACGAAATCTTCAAATCTATCCAAATGTCCACTTGCAGATTCAACAAAAAGTGTTTTTCAGAACTGCTCTATCAAAAGAAAGATCCACCTCTGTTAGCGGAGTTCACACATCACAAACAAGTTTATGAGAATGCTTCTGTCTAGTTTTTATTTGAAGATATTTCCTTTCTCACCATAGACCTGAAAGCTGTCCTAATGTTCACTTCCAGATACTACAGAAAGAGTGTTTCAAAACTGCTGTACGAAAGGGAAGTTCAACTCTGTGACTTGAATGCACACATCACAAAGAAGTTTCTGAGGATGCTGCTGTCTAATTTTTATACGTAATCCCGTTTCCAACGAAATCCTCCAATCTATCCACATATCCACTTGCAGATTCCACAGAAAGACTGTTTCAAAACTGCTCTGTCAATAGAAAGGTTCAACTCTGTTAGCTGCGTGCATATATCCCAAAGAAGATTCTGAGATTGCTTCTGTCTACTTTTTATGAGAAGATATTTCCCTTTTCACCGTACGCGTCAAGGCGCTCCAAATGTCCTCTTCCAGATACTACAAAAAGAGTGTTTCAAACCTACTCTGTGAAAGGGAACATTCAACTCTGTGACTTGAATGCACATATCACAAAGAAGTTTCTGAGAATGCTTCTGTCGAGATTTTATATGAAGATATTCCCGTTTCCAACTAAATGCTGAAATGTATCCAAATATCCCCTCGCAGATTCTACAAAAAGAGTGTTTCAAAACTGCTCTGTAAAAAGAAAGGTTCAACTCTGTTAGTTGAGTACACACATCACAAACAAGTTTCACAGAATGCTTCTTTCTAGCTTGTAGGGGAAGATATTCCCTTTATCACCATGGGCCTCAAACCGTCCGATAAGTCCACTTCCATATACTACAAAAAGAGCGTTTCAAACCTGCTCTATGAAAGGCAATGTTCAACTCTGTGACTTGAATGCAGACATCGCAGAGCAGTGTCTGAGAATGCTTCTGTCTAGATTTTATAGGAAGATATTCCCGTTTCCAACGAAATCTTCGCAGCTATCCAAATATCCACTTGCAGATTCTACAAAAAGAGTGTATCAAAACTGCTCTGTCAAAAGGAAGGTTCTTCTCTGTTAGGTGAGTGCATACGTCATAAAGGAGTTTCTGAGAATGTTTCTGTCTAGTGGTTATGGGAAGATATTTGCTTTTTCACCGTAGGCCTCAGAGCGCTCCAAATATCCACTTGCACATACTACAAAAAGAGTGCCTCACAGCTGCTCTCTGAAACGGAATGTTCAACTCTATGAGTTGAATGCAAACATCACAAAGACGTTTCTGAGAATGCTTCTGTCTAGATTTGATATGAAGATATTCCCGTTTCCAACGAAATCTTCATATCTATCCAAATGTCCACTTGCAGATTCAACAAAAAGTGTTTTTCAAAACTGCTGTATCAAAAGAAAGATCCACCTCTGTTAGCTGAGTTCACACATCACAAACAAGTTTATGAGAATGCTTCTGTCTAGTTTTTATTTGAAGATATTTCCTTTCTCATCATAGACCTGAAAGCTGTCCTATTGTTCACTTCAGATACTACAGAAAGAGTGTTTCAAAACTGTTGTACGAAAGGGAATGTTCAACCCTGTGACTTGAATGCACACATCACAAAGAAGTTTCTGAGGATGCTGCTGTCTACTTTTTATACGAAATCCCGTTTCCAACGAAATCCTCCAAGCTATCCAAATATCCAATTGCAGATTCCACAGAAAGACTGTTTCAAAACTGCTCTGTCAATAGAAAGGTTCAACTCTGTTAGCTGCGTGCATATATCCCAAAGGAGATTCTGAGATTGCTTGTGTCTACTTTTTATGAGAAGATATTTCCCTTTTCACCGTAGGCGTCAAGGCGCTCCAAATGTCCACTTCCAGATACTACAAAAAGAATGTTTCAAACCTACTCTGTGAAAGGGAATATTCAAGTCTGTGACTTGAATGCACATATCACAAAGAAGCTTCTGAGAATGCTTCTGTCGAGATTTTATATGAAGATATTCCCGTTTCCAACGAAATCCTGAAATGTATCCAAATATCCCCTTGCAGATTCTACAAAAGAGTGTTTCAAAACTGCTCTGTAAAAAGAAAGGTTCAACTCTGTTAGTTGAGTACACACATCACAAACAAGTTTCACACAATGCTTCTTTCTAGCTTGTAGGGGAAGATATTTCCTTTATCACCATGGGCCTCAAACCGTCCGAAACGTCCACTTCCATATACTACAAAAAGAGCGTTTCAAACCTGCTCTATGAAAGGCAATGTTCAACTGTGTGACTTGAATGCAGACATCACAGAGCAGTTTCTGAGAATGCTTCTGTCTAGATTTTATAGGAAGATATTCCCTTTTCCAACGAAATCTTCACAGCTATCCAAATATCCACTTGCAGATTCTACAAAAAGAGTGTATCAAAACTGCTCTGTCAAAAGGAAGGTTCTTCTCTGTTAGTTGAGTACATACGTCATAAAGGAGTTTCTGAGAATGTTTCTGTCTAGTGGTTATGGGAAGATATTTGCTTTTTCACCGTAGACCTCAGAGCGCTCCAAATATCCACTTGCACATACTACAAAAAGAGTGCTTCAAAGCTGCTCTCTAAAAGGGAATGTTCAACTCTATGAGTTGAATGCAAACATCACAAAGACGTTTCTGAGAATGCTTCTGTCTAGATTTGATATGAAGTTATTCCCGTTTCCAACGAAATCTTCAAATCTATCCAAATGTCCACTTGCAGATTCAACAAAACGTGTTTTTCAGACCTGCTCTATCAAAAGAAAGATCCACGTCTCTTAGCTGAGTTCACACATCACAAACAAGTTTATGAGAATGCTTCTGTCTAGTTTTTATTTGAAGATATTTCCTTTCTCACCATAGACCTGAAAGCTGTCCTAATGTTCACTTCCAGATACTACAGAAAGAGTGTTTCAAAACTGCTGTACGAAAGGGAATGTTCAACTCTGTGACTTGAATGCACACATCACAAAGAAGTTTCTGAGGATGGCTGTCTACTTTTTATACGTAATACCGTTTCCAACGAAATCCTCCAAGCTATCCAAATATCCACTTGCAGATTCCACAGAAAGACTGTTTCAAAACTGCTCTGTCAAAAGAAAGGTTCAACTCTGTTAGCTGCGTGCATATATCCCAAAGAAGATTCTGAGATTGCTTCTGTCTAGTTTTTATGGGAAGATATTTCCCTTTTCACCGTAGGCGTCAAGGCGCTCCAAATGTCCACTTCCAGATACTACAAAAAGAGTGTTTCAAACCTACTCTGTGAAAGGGAATATTCAACTCTGTGACTTGAATGCACATATCACAAAGATGTTTCTGAGAATGCTTCTGTCGAGATTTTATATGAAGATATTCCCGTTTCCAACGAAATCCTGAAATCTCTCCAAATATCCCCTCGCAGATTCTACAAAAAGAGTGTTTCAAAACTGCTCTGTAAAAAGAAAGGTTCAACTCTGTTAGTTGAGTACACACATCACAAACAAGTTTCACAGAATGATTCTTTCTAGCTTGTAGGGGAAGATATTCCCTTTATCACCATGGGCCTCAAACCGTCCGAAACGTCCACTTCCATATACTAAAAAAAGAGTGTTTCAAACCTGCTCTATGAAAGGCAATGTTCAACTCTGTGACTTGAATGAAGACATCACAGAGCAATTTCTGAGAATGCTTCTGTCTAGATTTTATAGGAAGATATTCCCGTTTCCAACGAAATCTTCACAGCTATCCTAATATCCACTTGCAGATTCTACAAAAAGAGTGTATCAAAACTGCTCTGTCAAAAGGAAGGTTCTTCTCTGTTAGGTGAGTGCATACGTCATAAAGGAGTTTCTGAGAATGTTTCAGTCTAGTGGTTATGGGAAGATATTTGCTTTTTCCCCGTAGGCCTCAGAGCGCTCCAAATATCCACTTGCACATACTACAAAAAGAGTGCTTCAAAGCTGCTCTCTGAAACGGAATGTTCAACTCTATGAGTTGAATGCAAACACCACAAAGACGTTTCTGAGAATGCTTCTGTCTAGATTTGATATGAAGATATTCCCGTTTCCAAAGAAATCTTCAAATCTATGCAAATGTCCACTTGCAGATTCAACAAAAAGTGTTTTTCAGAACTGCTCTATCAAAAGAAAGATCCACGGCTCTTAGCTGAGTTCACACATCACGAACAAGTTTATGAGTATGCTTCTGTCTAGTTTTTATTTGAAGATATATCCTTTCTCACTATAGACCTGAAAGCTGTCCTAAAGTTCACTTACAGATACTACAGAAAGAGTGTTTCAAAACTGCTGTACGAAAGGGAATGTTCAACTCTGTGACTTGAATGCACACATCACAAGGATGTTTCTGAGGATGCTGCTGTCTACTTTTTATACGTAATCCCGTTTCCAACGAAATCCTCCAAGTTATCCAAATATCCACTTGCAGATTCCACAGAAAGACTGTTTCAAAACTGCTCTGTCAATAGAAAGGTTCAACTCTGTTAGCTGCGTGCATATATCCCAAAGAAGATTCTGAGATTTCTTCTGTCTAGTTTTTATCGGAAGATATTTCCCTTTTCACCGTAGGCGTCAAGGCGCTCCAAATGTCCAATTCCAGATACTATAAAAAGAGTGTTTCAAACCTACTCTGTGAAAGGGAATATTCAACTCTGTGACTGGAATGCAGATATCACAAAGAAGTTTCTGAGAATGCTTCTGTCGAGATTTTATATGAAGATATTCCCGTTTCCAACGAAATCCCTGAAATCTATCCAAATATCCCCTTGCAGATTCTACAAAAAGAGTGTTTCAAAACTGCTCTGTAAAAAGAAAGGTTCAACTCTGTTAGTTGAGTACACACATCACAAACAAGTTTCACACAATGCTTCTTTCTAGCTTGTAGGGGAAGATTTTCCCTTTATCACCATGGGCCTCCAACCGTCCGAAACATCCACTTCCATATTCTACAAAAAGAGCGTTTCAAACCTGCTCTAGGAAAGGCAATGTTCAACTCTGTGACTTGAATGCAGACATCACAGAGCAGTTTCTGAGAATGCTTCTGTCTAGATTTTATAGGAAGGTATTCCCGTTTCCAACGAAATCTTCACAGCTATCCAAATATCCACTTGCAGATTCTACAAAAAGAGTGTATCAAAACTGCTCTGTCAAAAGGAAGGTTCTTCTCTGTTAGGTGAGTGCATACGTCATAAAGGAGTTTCTGAGAATGTTTCTGTCTAGTGGTTATGGGAAGATATTTGCTTTTTCACCGCAGGCCTCAGAGCGCTCCAAATATCCACTTGCACATACTACAAAAAGAGTGCCTCAAAGCTGCTCTCTGAAACGGAATGTTCAACTCTATGAGTTGAATGCAAACATCACAAAGACGTTTCTGAGAATGCTTCTGTCTAGATTTGATATGAAGATATTCCCGTTTCCAACGAAATCTTCAAATCTATCCAAATGTCCACTTGCAGATTAAACAAAAGTGTTTTTCAGAACTGCTCTATCAAAAGAAAGATCCACCTCTGTTAGCTGAGTTCACACATCACAAACAAGTTTATGAGAATGCTTCTGTCTAGTTTTTATTTGAAGATATTTCCTTTCTCAACATAGACCTGAAAGCTCTCCTAATGTTCACTTCCAGATACTACAGAAAGAGCGTTTCAAAACTGCTGTACGAAAGGGAATGTTCAACTCTGTGACTTGAATGCACACATCACAAAGAAGTTTCTGAGGATGCTGCTGTCTACTTTTTATACTTAATCCCGTTTCCAACGAAATCCTCCAAGCTATCCAAATATCCACTTGCAGATTCCACAGAAAGACTGTTTCAAAACTGCTCTGTCAATAGAAAGGTTCAACTCTGTTAGCTGTGTGCATATATCCCAAAGAAGATTCTGAGATTGCTTCTGTCTAGTTTTTATGGGAAGATATTTCCCTTTTGACCGTAGGTGTCAAGGCGCTCCAAATGTCCACTTCCAGATACTACAAAAAGAGTGTTTCAAACCTACTCTGTGAAAGGGAATATTCAACTCTGTGACTTGAATGCACATATCACAAAGAAGTTTCTGAGAATGCTTCTGTCGAGATTTTATATGAAGATATTCCCGTTTCCAACGAAATCCTGAAATCTATCCTAATATCCCCTCGCAGATTCTACAAAAAGAGTGTTTCAAAACTGCTCTGTAAAAAGAAATGTTCAACTCTGTTAGTTGAGTACACACATCACAAACAAGTTTCACAGAATGCTTCTTTCTAGCTTGTAGGGGAAGATATTCCGTTTATCACCATGGGCCTCCAACCGTCCGAAACATCCACTTCCATATACTACAAAAAGAGCGTTTCAAACCTGCTCTATGAAAGGCAATGTTCAACTCTGTGACTTGAATACAGACATCACAGAGCAGTTTCTGAGAATGCTTCTGTCTAGATTTTAAAGGAAGATATTCCCGTTTCCAACGAAATCTTCACAGCTATCCAAATATCCACTTGTAGATTCTACAAAAAGAGTGTATCAAAACTGCTCTGTCAAAAGGAAGGTTCTTTTCTGTTAGGTGAGTGCATACGTCATAAAGGAGTTTCTGAGAATGTTTCTGTCTAGTGGTTATGGGAAGATATTTGCTTTTTCACCGTAGGCCTCAGAGCGCTCCAAATATCCACTTGCACATACTACAAAAAGAGTGCTTCAAAGCTGCTCTCTGAAAGGGAATGTTCAACTCTATGAGTTGAATGCAAACATCACAAAGACGTTTCTGAGAATACTTCTGTCTAGATTTGATATGAAGATATTCCCGTTTCCAACGAAATCTTCAAATCTATCCAAATGTCCACTTGCAGATTCAACAAAGTGTTTTTCAGAACTGCTCTATCAAAAGAAAGATCCACCTCTGTTAGCTGAGATCACACTTCACAAACAAGTTTATCAGAATGCTTCTGTCTAGTTTTTATTTGAAGATATTTCCTTTCTCACCATAGAGCTGAAAGCTGTCCTAATGTTCACTTCCAGATAGTACAGAAAGAGTGTTTCAAAACTGCTGTACGAAAGGGAATGTTCAACTCTGTGACTTGAATGCACACATCACAAAGAAGTTTCTGAGGATGCTGCTGTCTACTTTTTATACGTAATCCCGTTTCCAACGAAATCCTCCAAGCTATCCAAATATCCACTTGCAGATTCCACAGAAAGACTGTTTCAAAACTGCTCTGTCAATAGAAAGGTTCAACTTTGTTAGCTGCGTGCATATATCCCAAAGAAGATTCTGAGATTGCTTCTGTCTAGTTTTTATGGGAAGATATTTCCCTTTTCACCGTAGGCGTCAAGGCGCTCCAAATGTCCACTTCCAGATACTACAAAAAGAGTGTTTCAAACCTACTCTGTGAAAGGGAATATTCAACTCTGTGACTTGAAGGCAGATATCACAAAGAAGTTTCTGAGAATGCTTCTGTCGAGATTTTATATGAAGGTATTCCCGTTTCCAACGAAATCCTGAAATGTATCCAAATATCCCCTCGCAGATTCTACAAAAAGAGTGTTTCAAAACTGCTCTGTAAAAAGAAAGGTTCAACTCTGTTAGTTGAGTACACACATCACAAACAAGTTTCACACAATGCTTCTTTCTAGCTTGTAGGGGAAGATATTCCCTTTATCACCATGGGCCTCCAACCGTCCGAAACATCCACTTCCATATACTACAAAAAGAGCGTTTCAAACCTGCTCTATGAAAGGCAATGTTCAACTCTGTGACTTGAATGCAGACATCAAAGAGCAGTTTCTGAGAATGCTTCTGTCTAGATTTTATAGGAAGATATTCCCGTTTCCAAAGAAATCTTCACAGCTATCCAAATATCCACTTGCATATTCTACAAAAAGAGTGTATCAAAACTGCTCTGTCAAAAGGAAGGTTCTTCTCTGTTAGGTGAGTGCATACGTCATACAGGAGTTTCTGAGAATGTTTCTGTCTAGTGGTTATGGGAAGATATTTGCTTTTTCACCGTAGGCCTCAGAGCGCTCCAAATATCCCCTTGCACATACTACAAAAAGAGTGCTTCAAAGCTGCTCTCTGAAAGGGAATGTTCAACTCTATGAGTTGAATGCAAACATCAGAAAGACGTTTCTGAGAATGCTTCTGTCTAGATTTGATATGAAGATATTCCCGTTTCCAACGAAATCTTCAAATCTATCCAAATGTCCACTTGCAGATTCAACAAAAAGTGTTTTTCAAAACTGCTGTATCAAAGGAAAGATCCACGTCTGTTAGCTGAGTTCACACATCACAAACAAGTTTATGAGAATGCTTCTGTCTAGTTTTTATTTGAAGATATATCCTTTCTCACCATAGACCTGGAAGCTCTCCTAATGTTCACTTCCAGATACTACAGAAAGAGTGTTTCAAAACTGCTGTACGAAAGGGAATGTTCAACTCTGTGACTTGAATGCACACATCACAAAGAATTTTCTGAGAATGCTGCTGTCTACTTTTTATACGTAATCCTGTTTCCAACGAAATCCTCCAAGCTATCCAAATATCCACTTGCAGATTCCAGAGAAAGACTGTTTCAAAACTGCTCTGTCAATAGAAAGGTTCAACTCTGTTAGCTGCGTGCATATATCCCAAAGAAGATTCTGAGATTGCTTCTGTCTAGTTTTTATGGGAAGATATTTCCTTTTTCACTGTAGGCGTCAATGCGCTCCAAATGTCCACTTCCAGATACTACAAAAAGAGTGTTTCAAACCTACTCTGTGAAAGGGAATATTCAACTCTGTGACTTGAATGCAGATATCCCAAAGAAGTTTCTGAGAATGCTTCTGTCGAGATTTTATATGAAGATATTCCCGTTTCCAACGAAATGCTGAAATGTATCCAAATATCCCCTCGCAGATTCTACAAAAAGAGTGTTTCAAAACTGCTCTGTAAAAAGAAAGGTTCAACTATTGTTAGTTGAGTACACACATCACAAACAAGTTTCACAGAATGCTTCTTTCTAGCTTGTAGGGGAAGATATTCCCTTTATCACCATGGGCCTCAAACCGTCCGAAACGTCCACTTCCATATACTACAAAAAGAGCGTTTCAAACCTGCTCTATGAAAGGCAATGTTCAACTCCGTGACTTGAATGCAGACATCACAGAGCAGTTTCTGAGAATGCTTCTGTCTAGATTTTATAGGAAGATATTCCCGTTTCCAGCGAAATCTTCACAGATATCCAAATATCCACTTGCAGATTCTACAAAAAGAGTGTATCAAAACTGCTCTGTCAAAAGGAAAGTTCTTCTCTGCTAGTTGAGTACATACGTCATAAAGAAGTTTCTGAGAATGTTTCTGTCTAGTGGTTATGGGAAGATATTTGCTTTTTCACCGAAGGCCTCAGAGCGCTCCAAATATCCACTTGCACATACTACAAAATGAGTGCCTCAAAGCTGCTCTCTGAAACGGAATGTTCAACTCTATGAGTTGAATGCAAACATCACAAAGACGTTTCCGAGAATGCTTCTGTCTAGATTTGATATGAAGATATTCCCGTTTCCAACGAAATCTTCAAATCTATCCAAATGTCCACTTGCAGATTCAACAAAAAGTGTTTTTCAGAACTGCTCTATCAAAAGAAAGATCCATCTCGGTTAGCTGAGTTCACACATCACAAACAAGTTTATGAGAATGCTTCTGTCTAGTTTTTATTTGAAGATATTTCCCTTCTCACCATAGACCTGCAAGCTGTCCTAATGTTCACTTCCAGATACTACAGAAAGAGTGTTTCAAAACTGCTGTACGAAAGGGAATGTTCAACTCTGTGACTTGAATGCACACATCACAAAGTAGTTTCTGACGATGCTGCTGTCTACTTTTTATACGTAATCCCGTTTCCAACGAAATCCTCCAAGCTATCCAAATATCCACTTGCAGATTCCACAGAAAGACTGTTTCAAAACTGCTCTGTCAATAGAAAGGTTCAACTCTGTTAGCTGCGTGCATATATCCCAAAGAAGATTGTGAGATTGCTTCTGTCTAGTTTTTATGGGAAGATATTTCCCTTTTCACCTTAGGCGTCAAGGCGCTCCAAATGTCCACTTCCAGATACTACAAAAAGAGTGTTTCAAACCTACTCTGTGAAAGGGAATATTCAACTCTGTGACTTGAAGGCAGATATCACAAAGAAGTTTCTGAGAATGCTTCTGTCGAGATTTTATATGTAGATATTCCCGTTTCCAACGAAATCCTGAAATCTATCCAAATATGCCCTCGCAGATTCTACAAAAAGAGTGTTTCAAAACTGCTCTGTAAAAAGAAAGGTTCAACTCTGTTAGTTGAGTACACACATCACAAACAAGTTTCACAGAATGCTTCTTTCTAGCTTGTAGGGGAAGATATTTCCTTTATCACCATGGGCCTCAAACCGTCCAAAACGTCCACTTCCATATACTAAAAAAACAGTGTTTGAAACCTGCTCTATGAAAGGCAATGTTCAACTCTGTGACTTGAATGCAGACATCACAGAGCAGTTTCTGAGAATGCTTCTGTCCAGACTTTATAGGAAGATATTCCCGTTTCCAACGAAATCTTCACAGCTATACAAATATCCACTTGCAGATAGTACAAAAAGAGTGTATCAAAAATGCTCTGTCAAAAGGAAAGTTCTTCTCTGCTAGTTGAGTACATACGTCATAAAGAAGTTTCTGAGAATGTTTCTGTCTAGTGGTTATGGGAAGATATTTGCTTTTTCACCTTAGGCCTCAGAGCGCTCCAAATATCCCCTTGCACATACTACAAAAAGAGCGCTTCAAAGCTGCTCTCTGAAACGGAATGTTCAACTCTATGGGTTGAATGCAAACATCACAAAGACGTTTCTGAGAATGCTTCTGTCTAGATTTGATATGAAGATATTCCCGTTCCCACGAAATCTTCAAATCTATCCAAATGTCCACTTGCAGATTCAACAAAACGTGTTTTTCAGAACTGCTCTATCAAAAGAAAGATCCACGTCTCTTAGCTGAGTTCACACATCACAAACAAGTTTATGAGAATGCTTCTGTATAGTTTTTATTTGAAGATATTTCCTTTCTCACCATAGACCTGAAAGCTGTCCTAATGTTCACTTCCAGATACTACAGAAAGAGTGTTTCAAAACTGCTGTACGAAAGGGAATGTTCAACTCTGTGACTTGAATGCACACATCACAAAGAAGTTTCTGAGGATGCTGCTGTCTACTTTTTATGCGTAATCCCGTTTCCAACGAAATCCTCCAAGCTATCCAAATATCCACTTGCAGATTCCACAGAAAGACTGTTTCAAAACTGCTCTGTCAATAGAAAGGTTCAACTCTGTTAGCTGCGTGCATATATCCCAAAGAAGATTCTGAGATTGCTTCTGTCTAGTTTTTATGGGAAGATATTTCCCTTTTCACCGTAGGCGTCAAGGCGCTCCAAATGTCCACTTCCAGATATTACAAAAAGAGTGTTTCAAACCTACTCTGTGAAAGGGAATATTCAACTCTGTGACTTGAATGCAGATATCACAAAGAAGTTTCTGAGAATGCTTCTGTCGAGATTTTATATGAAGATATTCCCGTTTCCAACGAAATCCTGAAATCTATCCAAATATCCCCTCGCAGATTCTACAAAAAGAGTGTTTCAAAACTGCTCTGTAAAAAGAAAGGTTCAACTCTGTTAGTTGAGTACACACATCACAAAGAAGTTTCACAGAATGCTTCTTTCTATCTTGTAGGGGAAGATATTCCCTTTATCACTATGGGCCTCAAACCGTCCGAAACGTCTACTTCCATATACTACAAAAAGAGCGTTTCAAACGTGCTCTATGAAAGGCAATGTTCAACTCTGTGACTTGAATGCAGACATCACAGAGCAGTTTCTGAGAATGCTTCTGTCTAGATTTTATAGGAAGATATTCCCGTTTCCAACGAAATCTTCACAGCTATCCAAATATCCACTTGCAGATTCTACAAAAAGAGTGTATCAAAACTGCTCTGTCAAAAGGAAGGTTCTTCTCTTTTAGGTGAGTGCATAGGTCATAAAGGAGTTTCTGAGAATGTTTCCGTCTAGTGGTTATGGGATGATATTTGCTTTTTCACCGTAGGCCTCAGAGCGCTCCAAATATCCACTTGCACATACTACAAAAAGAGTGCTTCAAAGCTGCTCTCTGAAAGGGAATGTTCAACTCTATGAGTTGAATGCAAACATCACAAAGACGTTTCTGAGAATGCTTCTGTCTAGATTTGATATGAAGATATTCCCGTTTCCAACGAAATCTTCAAATCTATCCAAATGTCCACTTGCAGATTCAACAAAAAGTGTTTTTCAGAACTGCTCTATCAAAAGAAAGATCCACCTCTGTTAGCTGAGTTCAGACATCACAAACAAGTTTATGAGAATGCTTCTGTCTAGTTTTTATTTGAAGATATTTCCTTTCTCACCATAGACCTGAAAGCTTTCCTAATGTTCACTTCCAGTTACTACAGAAAGAGTATTTCAAAACTGCTGTACGAAAGGGATTGTTCAACTCTGTGACTTGAATGCACACATCACAAAGAAGTTTCTGAGGATGCTGCTGTCTACTTTTTATACGTAATCCCGTTTCCAACGAAATCCTCCAAGCTATCCAAATATCCACTTGCAGATTCCACAGAAAGACTGTTTCAAAACTGCTCTGTCAATAGAAAGGTTCAACTCTGTTAGCTGCGTGCATATATCCCAAAGAAGATTCTGAGATTGTTTCTGTCTAGTTTTTATGGGAAGATATTTCCCTTTTCACCGTAGGTGTCAAGGCGCTCCAAATGTCCACTTCCAGATACTACAAAAAGAGTGTTTCAAACCAACTCTGTGAAAGGGAATATTCAACTCTGTGACTTGAATGCACATATCACAAAGAAGTTTCTGAGAATGCTTCTGTCGAGATTTTATATGAAGATATTCCCCTTTCCAACGAAATCCTGAAATCTATCCAAATATCCCCTCGCAGATTCTACAAAAAGAGTGTTTCAAAACTGCTCTGTAAAAAGAAAGGTTCAACTCTGTTAGTTTGAGTACACACATCACAAACAAGTTTCACAGAATGCTTCTTTCTAGCTTGTAGGGGAAGATATTCCCTTTATCACCATGGGCCTCAAACCGTCCGAAACGTCCACTTCCATGTACTACAAAAAGAGCGTTTCAAACCTGTTCTAGGAAAGGCAATGTTCAACTCTGTGACTTGAATGCAGACATCACAGAGCAGTTTCTGAGAATGCTTCCATCTAGATTTTATAGGAAGATATTCCCGTTTCCAACGAAATCTTCACAGCTATCCAAATATCCACTTGCAGATTCTGCAAAAAGAGTGTATCAAAACTGCTCCGTCAAAAGGAAGGTTCTTCTCTGTTAGGTGAGTGCATACGTCATAAAGGAGTTTCTGAGAATGTTTCTGTCTAGTGGTTATGGGAAGATATTGGCTTTTTCACCGTAGGCCTCAGAGCGCTCCAAATATCCACTTGCACATACTACAAAAAGAGTGCCTCAAAGCTGCTCTCTGAAACGGAATGTTCAACTCTATGAGTTGAATGCAAACATCACAAAGACGTTTCTGAGAATGCTTCTGTCTAGATTTGATATGAAGATATTCCCGTTTCCAACGAAATCTTCATATCTATCCAAATGTCCACTTGCAGATTCAACAAAAAGTGTTTTTCAAAACTGCTGTATCAAAAGAAAGATCCACGTCTGTTAGCTGATGCTCTATCAAAAGAAAGATTCACCTCTGTTAGCTGAGTTCACACATCACAAACAAGTTTATGAAAATGCTTCTGTCTAGTTTTTATTTGAAGATATTTCCTTTCTCACCATAGACCTGAAAGCTGTCCTAATGTTCACTTCCAGATACTACAGAAAGAGTGTTTCAAAACTGCTGTATGAAAGGGAATGTTCAAATCTGTGACTTGAATGCACACATCACAAAGAAATTTCTGAGGATGCTGCTATCTACTTTTTATACGTAATCCCGTTTCCAACGAAATCCTCCAAGCTATCCAAATATCCACTTGCAGATTCCACAGAAAGACTGTTTCAAAACTGCTCTGTCAATAGAAAGGTTCAACTCTGTTAGCTGCGTGCATATATCCCAAAGAAGATTCTGAGATTGCTTCTGTCTAGTTTTTATGGGAAGATATTTCCCTTTTCACCGTAGGTGTCAAGGCGCTCCAAATGTCCACTTCCAGATACTACAAAAAGAGTGCTTCAAACCTACTCTGTGAAAGGGAATATTCAACTCTGTGACTTAAAGGCAGATATCACAAAGAAGTTTCTGAGAATGCTTCTGTCGAGATTTTATATGAAGATACTCCCGTTTCCAACGAAATCCTGAAATCTATCCAAATATCCCTTCGCAGATTCTACAAAAAGAGTGTTTCAAAATTGCTCTGTAAAAAGAAAGGTTCAACTCTGTTAGTTGAGTACACACATCACAAACAAGTTTCACAGAATGCTTTCTTTCTAGCTTGTAGGGGAAGATATTCCCTTTATCACCATGGGCCTCCAACCGTCCGAAACATCCACTTCCATATACTACAACAAGAGCGTTTCAAACCTGCTCTATGAAAGGCAATGTTCAACTCTGTGACTTGAATACAGACATCACAGAGCAGT
Organism: Homo sapiens; assembly: GCF_000001405.40. Taxonomy (NCBI): domain Eukaryota; kingdom Metazoa; phylum Chordata; class Mammalia; order Primates; family Hominidae; genus Homo; species Homo sapiens. The sequence continues at coordinate 17,302,098 of NC_000013.11, read as the reverse complement.
TTCTGAGAATGCTTCTGTCTAGATTTTATAGGAAGATATTCCCGTTTCCAACGAAATCTTCACAGCTATCCAAATATCCACTTGCAGATTCTACAAAAAGAGTGTATCAAAACTGTTCTGTCAAAAGGAAGGTTCTTCTCTGTTAGGTGAGTGCATACGTCATAAAGGAGTTTCTGAGAATGTTTCTGTCTAGTGGTTATGGGAAGATATTTGCTTTTTCACCGTAGGCCTCAGAGCGCTCCAAATATCCACTTGCACATACTACAAAAAGAGTGCCTCAAAGCTGCTCTATGAAACGGAATGTTCAACTCTATGAGTTGAATGCAAACATCACAAAGACGTTTCTGAGAATGCTTCTGTCTAGATTTGATATGAAGATATTCCCGTTTCCAACGAAATCTTCAAATCTATCCAAATGTCCACTTGCAGATTCAACAAAAAGTGTTTTTCAGAACTGCTCTATCAAGAGAAAGATCCACCTCTGTTAGCTGAGTTCACACATCACAAACAAGTTTATGAGAATGCTTCTGTCTAGTTTTTATTTGAAGATATTTCCTTTCTCACCATAGAGCTGAAAGCTGTCCTAATGTTCACTTCCAGATACTACAGAAAGAGTGTTTCAAAACTGCTGTACGAAAGGGAATGTTCAACTCTGTCACTTGAATGCACACATCACAAAGAAGTTTCTGAGGATGCTGCTGTGTACTTTTGATACGTAATCCCGTTTCCAACGAAATCCTCCAAGCTATCGAAATATCCACTTGCAGATTCCACAGAACGACTGTTTCAAAACTGCTCTGTCAATAGAAATGTTCAACTCTGTTAGCTGCGTGCATATATCCCAAAGAAGATTCTGAGATTGCTTCTGTCTAGTTTTTATGGGAAGATATTTCCCTTTTCACCGTAGGCGTCAAGGCGCTCCAAATGTCCACATCCAGATACTACAAAAAGAGTGTTTCAAACCTACACTGTGAAAGGGAATATTCAACTCTGTGACTTGAATGCACATATCACAAAGAAGTTTCTGAGAATGCTTCTGTAGAGATTTTATATGAAGATATTCCCGTTTCCAACGAAATCCTGAAATCTATCCAAATATCCCCTCGCAGATTCTACAAAAAGAGTGTTTCAAAACTGCTCTGTGAAAAGAAAGGTTCAACTCTGTTAGTTGAGTACACACATCACAAACAAGTTTCACAGAATGCTTCTTTCTAGCTTGTAGGGGAAGTTATTCCCTTTATCACCATGGGCCTCAAACCGTCCGAAACGTCCACTTCCATATACTACAAAAAGAGCGTTTCAAACCTGCTCTATGAAAGGCAATGTTCAACTCTGTGACTTGAATGCAGACATCACAGAGCTGTTTCTGAGAATGCTTCTGTCTAGATTTTATAGGAAGATATTCCCGTTTCCAACGAAATCTTCACAGCTATCCCAATATCCACTTGCAGATTCTACAAAAAGAGTGTATCAAAACTGCTCTGTCAAAAGGAAGGTTCTTCTCTGTTAGGTGAGTGCATACGTCATAAAGGAGTTTCTGAGAATGATTCTGTCTAGTGGTTATGGGAAGATATTTGCTTTTTCCCCGTAGGCCTCAAAGCGCTCCAAATGTCAACTTGCACATACTACAAAAAGAGTGCTTCAAAGCTGCTCTCTGAAAGGGAATGTTCAACTCTATGAGTTGAATGCAAACATCGCAAAGACGTTTCTGAGAATGCTTCTGTCTAGATTTGATATGAAGATATTCCCGTTTCCAACGAAATCTTGAAATCTATCCAAATGTCCACTTCCAGATTCAACAAAGTGTTTTTCAGAACTGCTCTATTCAAAGAAAGATCCACCTCTGTTAGCTGAGATCACACTTCACAAACAAGTTTATCAGAATGCTTCCGTCTAGTTTTTATTTGAAAATATATCCTTTCTCACTATAGACCTGAAAGCTGTCCTAAAGTTCACTTCCAGATACTACAGAAAGAGTGTTTCAAAACTGCTGTACGAAAGGGAATGTTCAACTCTGTGACTTGAATGCACACATCACAAGGATGTTTCTGAGGATGCTGCAGTCTACTTTTTTTACGTAATCCCGTTTCCAAAGAAAACTTCCAAGCTATCCAAATATCCACTTGCAGATTCCACAGAAAGACTGTTTCAAAACTGCTCTGTCAATACAAATGTTCAACTCTGTTAGCTGCCTGCATATATCCCAAAGAAGATTCTGAGATTGCTTCTGTCTAGTTTTTATGGGAAGATATTTCCCTTTTCATCGTAGGTGTCAAGGCGCTCCAAATGTCCACTTCCAGATACAACAAAAAGAGTGTTTCAAACCTACTCTGTGAAAGGGAATATTCAACACTGAGACTTGAATGCACATATCACAAAGAAGTTTCTGAGAATGCTTCTGTCGAGATTTTATATGAAGATATTCCCGTTTCCAACCAAATCCTGAAATCTATCCAAATATCCCCTCGCAGATTCTACAAAAAGAGTGTTTCAAAACTGCTCTGTGAAAAGAAAGGTTCAACTCTGTTAGTTGAGTACACACATCACAAACAAGTTTCACAGAATGCTTCTTTCTAGCTTGTAGGGGAAGATATTCCCTTTATAACCATGGGCCTCAAACCGTCCGATAAGTCCACTTCCATATACTACAAAAAGAGCGTTTCAAACCTGCTCTATGAAAGGCAATGTTCAACTCTGTGACTTGAATGCAGACATCACAGAGCAGTTTCTGAGAATGCTTCTGTCTAGATTTTATAGGAAGATATTCCCGTTTCCAACGAAATCTTCACAGCTATCCAAATATCCACTTGGAGATTCTACAAAAAGAGTGTATCAAAACTGCTCTGTCAAAAAGAAGGTTCTTCTCTGTTAGTTGCGTACATACGTCATAAAGGAGTTTCTGAGAATGTTTCTGTTTAGTGGTTACGGGAAGATATTTGCTTTTTCACCGTAGGCCTCAGAGCGATCCAAATATCCACTTGCACATACTACAAAAAGAGTGCTTCAAAGCTGCTCTCTGAAACGGAATGTTCAACTCTATGAGTTGAATGCAAACATCACAAAGACGTTTCTGAGAATGCTTCTGTCTAGATTTGATATGAAGATATTCCCGTTTCCAACGAAATCTTCAAATCTATCCAAATGTCCACTTGCAGATTCAACAAAAAGTGTTTTTCAAAACTGCTGTATCAAAAGAAAGATCCACGTCTGTTAGCTGAGTTCACACATCACAAACAAGTTTATGAGAATGCTTGTCTGTCTAGTTTTTATTTGAAGATATTTCCTTTCTCACCATAGACCTGAAAGCTGTCCTAATGTTCACTTCCAGATGCTACAGAAAGAGTGTTTCAAAACTGCTGTACGAAAGGGAATGTTCAACTCTGTGACTTGAATGCACACATCACAAAGAAGTTTCTGAGGATGCTGCTGTCTACTTTTTATACGTAATCCCGTTTCCATTGAAATCCTCCAAGCTATCCAAATATCCACTTGCAGATTCCACAGAAAGACTGTTTCAAAACTGCTCTGTCAATAGAAAGGTTCAACTCTGTTAGCTTCGTGCATATATCCCAAAGAAGATTCTGAGATTGCTTCTGTCTAGTTTTTATGGGAAGATATTTCCCTTTTCACCGTAGGCGTCAAGGCGCTCCAAATGTCCACTTCCAGATACTACAAAAAGAGTGTTTCAAACCTACTCGGTGAAAGGGAATATTCAACTCTGTGACTTGAATGCACATATCACAAAGAAGTTTCTGAGAATGCTTCTGTCGAGATTTTATATGAAGATATTCCCGTTTCCAAAGAAATCCTGAAATCTATCCAAATATCCCCTCGCAGATTCTACAAAAAGAGTGTTTCAAAACTGCTCTGTAAAAAGAAAGGTTCAACTCTGTTAGTTGAGTACACACATCACAAATAAGTTTCACAGAATGCTTTCTTTCTAGCTTGTAGGGGAAGATATTCACTTTATCACCATGGGCCTCAAACCGTCCGAAACGTCCACTTCCATATACTACAAAAAGAGCGTTTCAAACCTGTTCTTGGAAAAGCAATGTTCAACTCTGTGACTTGAATGCAGACATCACAGAGCAGTTTCTGAGAATGCTTCTGTCTAGATTTTATAGGAAGATATTCCCGTTTCCAACGAAATCTTCACAGCTATCCAAATATCCACTTGCAGATTCTACAAAAAGAGTGTATCAAAACTGCTCTGTCAAATGGAAGGTTCTTCTCTGTTAGGTGAGTGCATACGTCATAAAGGAGTTTCTGAGAATGTTTCTGTCTAGTGGTTATGGGAAGATATTTGCTTTTTCCCCTTAGGCCTCAAAGCGCTCCAAATGTCAATTTGCACTTACTACAAAAAGAGTGCTTCAAAACTGCTCTCTGAAAGGGAATGTTCAACTCTATGAGTTGAATGCAAACATCACAAAGACGTTTCTGAGAATGCTTCTGTCTAGATTTGATATGAAGATATTCCCGTTTCCAAAGAAATCTTCAAATCTATCCAAATGTCCACTTGCAGATTCAACAAAAAGTGTTTTTCAGAACTGCTCTATCAAAAGAAAGATCCACGGCTCTTAGCTGAGTTCACACATCACGAACAAGTTTATGAGAATGCTTCTGTCTAGTTTTTATTTGAAGATATATCCTTTCTCACTATAGACCTGAAAGCTGTCCTAAAGTTCACTTCCAGATACTACAGAAAGAGTGTTTCAAAACTGCTGTACGAAAGGGAATGTTCAACTCTGTGACTTGAATGCACACATCACAAGGATGTTTCTGAGGATGCTGTTGTCTACTTTTTATACGTAATCCCGTTTCCAACGAAATCCTCCAAGCTATCCAAATATCCACTTGCAGATTCCACAGAAAGACTGTTTCAAAACTGCTATTTCAATAGAAAAGTTCAACTCTGTTAGCTGTGTGCATATATCCCAAAGAAAATTCTGAGATTGCTTCTGTCTAGTTTTCATGGGAAGATATTTCCCTTTTCACCGTAGGTGTCAAGGCGCTCCAAATGTCCACTTCCAGATACTACAAAAAGAGTGTTTCAAACCTACTCTCTGAAAGGGAATATTCCGCTCTGTGACTTGAATGCAGATATCACAATGAAGTTTCTGAGAATGCTTCTGTCGAGATTTTATATGAAGATATTCCCGTTTCCAACGAAATCCTGAAATCTCTCCAAATATCCCCTCGCAGATTCTACAAAAAGAGTGTTTCAAAACTGCTCTTTAAAAAGAAAGGTTCAACTCTGTTAGTTGAGTACACACATCACAAACAAGTTTCACAGAATGCTTCTTTCTAGCTTGTAGGGGAAGATATTCCCTTTATCACCATGGGCCTCAAACCGTCCGAAACGTCCACTTCCATATACTACAAAAAGAGCGTTTCAAACCTGCTCCAGGAAAGGCAATGTTCAACTCTGTGACTTGAATGCAGACATCACAGAGCAGTTTCTGAGAATGCTTCTGTCTAGATTTTATAGGAAGATATTCCCGTTTCCAACGAAATCTTCACAGCTATCCAAATATCCACTTGCAGATTCTACAAAAAGAGTGTATCAAAACTGCTCTCTCAAAAGGAAGGTTCTTCTCTGTTAGGTGAGTGCATACGTCATAAAGGAGTTTCTGAGAATGTTTCTGTCTAGTGGTTATGGGAAGATATTTGCTTTTTCCCCGTAGGCCTCAGGGCGCTCCAAATGTCCACTTGCACATGCTACAAAAAGAGTGCTTCAAAGCTGCTCTCTCAAAGGGAATGTTCAACTCTATGAGTTGAATGCAAACATCGCAAAGACGTTTCTGAGAATGCTTCTGTCTAGATTTGATATGAAGATATTCCCGTTTCCAACGAAATCTTCAAATCTATCCAAATGTCCACTTGCAGATTCAACAAAAAGTGTTTTTCAGAACTGCTCTATCAAAAGAAAGATCCACCTCTGTTAGCTGAGTTCAGACATCGCAAACATGTTTTTGAGAATGCTTCTGTCTAATTTTTATTTGAAGATATTTCCTTTCTCACCATAGACCTGAAAGCTGTCCTAATGTTCACTTCCAGATACTACAGAAAGAGTGTTTCAAAACTGCTGTACGAAAGGGAATGTTCAACTCTGTGACTTGAATGCACACATCAGAAAGAAGTTTCTGAGGATGCTGCTGTCTACTTATTATACGTAATCCCGTTTCCAACGAAATCCTCCAAGCTATCCAAATATCCACTTGCAGAATCCATAGAAAGACTGTTTCAAAACTGCTCTGTCAATAGAAAGGTTCAACTCTGTTAGCTGCGTGCATATATCCCAAAGAAGATTCTGAGATTGCTTCTGTCTAGTTTTTATGGGAAGATATTTCCCTTTTCACCGTAGGTGTCAAGGCGCTCCAAATGTTCACTTCCAGATACTACAAAAAGAGTGTTTCAAACCTACTCTGTGAAAGGGAATATTCAACTCTGTGACTTAAAGGCAGATATCACAAAGAAGTTTCTGAGAATGCTTCTGTCGAGATTTTATATGAAGATATTCCAGTTTCCAACCAAATCCTGAAATCTATCCAAATATCCCCTCGCAGATTCTACAAAAAGAGTGTTTCAAAAGTGCTCTGTAAAAAGAAAGGTTCAACTCTGTTAGTTGAGTACACACATCACAAACAAGTTTCACAGAATGCTTCTTTCTAGCTTGTAGGGGAAGATATTCCCTTTATCACCATGGGCCTCAAACCGTCTGAAACGTCCACTTCCATATACTGCAAAAAGAGCATTTCAAACCTGCTCTATGAAAGGCAATGTTCAACTCTGTGACTTGAATGCAGACATCACAGAGCAGTTTCTGAGAATGCTTCTGTCTAGATTTTATAGGAAGATATTCCCGTTCCAACGAAATCTTCACAGCTATCCAAATATCCACTTGCAGATTCTACAAAAAGAGTGTATCAAAACTGCTCTGTCAAAAGGAAGGTTCTTCTCTGTTAGGTGAGTGCATACGTCATAAAGGAGTTTCTGAGAATGTTTCTGTCTAGTGGTTATGGGAAGATATTTGCTTTTTCACCGTAGGCCACAGAGCGATCAAAACATCCACTTGCACATACTACAAAAAGAGTGCTTCAAAGCTGCTCTCTGAAAGTGAATGTTCAACTCTATGAGTTGAATGCAAACATCACAAAGACGTTTCTGAGAATGCTTCTGTCTAGATTTGATATGAAGTTATTCCCGTTTCCAACGAAATCTTCAAATCTATCCAAATGTCCACTTGCAGATTCAACAAAAAGTGTTTTTCAGAACTGCTCTATCAAAAGAAAGATCCACCTCTGTTAGCTGAGTTCACACATCACAAACAAGTTTATGAAAATGCTTCTGTCTAGTTTTTATTTGAAGATATTTCCTTTCTCACCATAGACCTGAAAGCTGTCCTAATGTTCACTTCCAGTTACTACAGAAAGAGTGTTTCAAAACTGCTGTACGAAAGGGAATGTTCAACTCTGTGAGTTGAATGCACACATCACAAAGAAGTTTCTGAGGATGCTGCTGTCTACTTTTTATACGTAATCCCGTTTCCAACGAAATCCTCCAAGCTATCCAAATATCCACTTGCAGATTCCACAGAAAGACTGTTTCAAAACTGCTCTGTCAATAGAAAGATTCAACTCTGTTAGCTGCGTGCATATATCCCAAAGAAGATTCTGAGATTACTTCTGTCTAGTTTTTATGGGAAGATATTTCCCTTTTCACCGTAGGCGTCAAGGCGCTCCAAATGTCCACTTCCAGATACTACAAAAAGAGTGTTTCAAACCTACTCTGTGAAAGGGAGTATTCAACTCTGTGACTTGAATACACATATCACAAAGAAGTTTCTGAGAATGCTTCTGTCGAGATTTTATATGAAGATAATCCCGTTTCCAACGAAATCCTGAAATCTATCCAAATATCCCCACGCAGATTCTACAAAAAGAGTGTTTCAAAACTGCTCTGTAAAAAGAATGGTTCAACTCTGTTAGTTGAGTACACACATCACAAAAAAGTTTCACAGAATGCTTCTTTCTAGCTTGTAGGGGAAGATATTCCCTTTATCACCATGTGCCTCAAACCGTCCGAAACTTCCACTTCCATATACTACAAAAAGAGCGTTTCAAACCTGCTCTAGGAAAGGCAATGTTCAACTCTGTGACTTGAATGCAGACATCACATAGCAGTTTCTGAGAATGCTTCTGTCTAGATTTTATAGGAAGATATTCCCGTTTCCAACGAAATCTTCACAGCTATCCCAATATCCACTTGCAGATTCTACAAAAAGAGTGTATCAAAACTGCTCTGTCAAAAGGAAGGTTCTTCTCTGTTAGGTGAGTGCATACGTCATAAAGGAGTTTCTGAGAACGTTTCTGTCTAGTGGTTATGGGAAGATATTTGCTTTTTCACCGAAGGCCTCAGAGCGCTCCAAATATCAACTTGCACATACTACAAAATGAGTGCCTCAAAGCTGCTCTCTGAAACGGAATGTTCAACTCTATGAGTTGAATGCAAACATCACAAAGACGTTTCCGAGAATGCTTCTGTCTAGATTTGATATGAAGATATTCCCGTTTCCAACGAAATCTTCAAATCTATCCAAATGTCCACTTGCAGATTCAACAAAGTGTTTTTCAAAACTGCTGTATCAAAAGAAAGATCCACCACTGTTAGCTGAGTTCACACTTCACAAACAAGTTTATCAGAATGCTTCTGTCTAGTTTTTATTTGAAGATATTTCCTTTCTCACCATAGACCTGAAAGCTGTCCTAATGTTCACTTCCAGATACTACAGAAAGTGTTTCAAAACTGCTGTACGAAAGGGAATGTTCAACTCTGTGACTTGAATGCACACATCACAAAGAAGTTTCTGAGGATGCTGCTGTCTACTTTTTATACGTAATCCCGTTTCCAACGAAATCCTTCAAGCTATCCAAATATCCACTTGCAGATTCCACAGAAAGACTGTTTCAAAACTGCTCTGTCAATAGAAAGGTTCAACTCTGTTAGCTGCGTGCATATATCCCAAAGAAGATTCTGAGATTGCTTCTGTCTACTTTTTATGAGAAGATATTTCCCTTTTCACCGTAGGCGTCAAGGCGCTCCAAATGTCCACTTCAGATACTACAAAAAGAGTGTTTCAAACCTACTCTGTGAAAGGGAATATTGAACTCTGTGACTTGAATGCACATATCAAAAAGAAGTTTCAGAGAATGCTCTGTCGAGATTTTATATGAAGATATTCCCGTTTCCAACGAAATCCTGAAATCTATCCAAATATCCCCTCGCAGATTCTACAAAAAGAGTGTTTCAAAACTGCTCTGTAAAAAGAAAGGTTCAACTCTGTTAGTTGAGTACACACATCACAAACAAGTTTCACAGAATGCTTTCTTTCTAGCTTGTAGGGGAAGATATTCCCCTTATCACCATGGGCCTCCAACCGTCCGAAACATCCACTTCCATATACTACAAAAAGAGCGTTTCAAACCTGCTCTATGAAAGGCAATGTTCAACTCTGTGACTTGAATGCAGACATCACAGAGCAGTTTCTGAGAATGCTTCTGTCTAGATTTTATAGGAAGATATTCCCGTTTCCAACGAAATCTTCACGGCTATCCAAATATCCACTTGCAGATTCTACAAAAAGAGTGTATCAAAACTGCTCTGTCAAAAGGAAGGTTCTTCTCTGTTAGGTGAGTGCATACGTCATAAAGGAGTTTCTGAGAATGTTTCTGTCTAGTGGTTATGGGAAGATATTTGCTTTTTCCCCGTAGGCCTCAGAGCGCTCCAAATATCCACTTGCACATACTACAAAAAGAGTGCTTCAAAGCTGCTCTCTGAAACGGAATGTTCAACTCTATGAGTTGAATGCAAACATCGCAAAGACGTTTCTGAGAATGCTTCTGTCTAGATTTGATATGAAAATATTCCCGTTTCCAACGAAATCTTCAAATCTATCCAAATGTCCACTTGCAGATTCAACAAAAAGTGTTTTTCAGAACTGCTCTATCAAAAGAAAGATCCACCTCTGTTAGCTGAGTTCACACATCATAAACAAGTTTATGAGAATGCTTCTGTCTAGTTTTTATTTGAAGATATTTCCTTTCTCACCATAGACCTGAAAGCTGTCCTAATGTTCACTTCCAGATACTACAGAAAGAGTGCTTCAAAACTGTTGTACGAAAGGGAATGTTCAACTCTGTGACTTGAATGCACACATCACAAAGAAGTTTCTGAGGATGCTGCTGTCTACTTTTTATACTTAATCCCGTTTCCAACGAAATCCTCCAAGCTTTCCAAATATCCACTTGCAGATTCCACAGAAAGACTGTTTCAAAACTGCTCTGTCAATAGAAAGGTTCAACTCTGTTAGCTGCGTGCATATATCCCAAAGAAGATTCTGAGATTGCTTCTGTCTAGTTTTTGTGGGAAGATATTTCGCTTTTCACCGTAGGTGTCAAGGCGCTCCAAATGTCCACTTCCAGATACTACAAAAAGAGTGTTTCAAACCTACTCTGTGAAAGGGAATATTCAACTCTGTGACTTGAATGCACATATCACAAAGAAGTTTCTGAGAATGCTTCTGTCGAGATTTTATATGAAGGTATTCCCGTTTCCAACGAAATCCTGAAATCTATCCAAATATCCCCTCGCAGATTCTACAAAAAGAGTGTTTCAAAACTGCTGTGTAAAAAGAAAGGTTCAACTCTGTTAGTTGAGTACACACATCACAAACAAGTTTCACAGAATGCTTCTTTCTAGCTTGCAGGGGAAGATATTCCCTTTATCACCATGGGCCTCCAACTGTCCGAAACATCCACTTCCATATACTACAAAAAGAGCGTTTCAAACCTGCTCTATGAAAGGCAATGTTCAACTCTGTGACTTGAATGCAGACATCACAGAGCAGTTTCTGAGAATGCTTCTGTCTAGAATTTATAGGAAGATATTCCCGTTTCCAACGAAATCTTCACAGCTATCCAAATATCCACTTGCAGATTCTACAAAAAGAGTGTGTCAAAACTGCTCTGTCAAAAGGAAGGTTCTTCTCTGTTAGTTGAGTACATACGTCATAAAGGAGTTTCTGAGAATGTTTCTGTCTAGTGGTTATGGGAAGATACTTGCTTTTTCACCGTAGGCCTCAGAGCGCTCCAAATATCCACTTGCACATACTACAAAAAGAGTGCTTCAAAGCTGCTCTCTGAAACGGAATGTTCAACTCTATGAGTTGAATGCAAACATCACAAAGACGTTTCTGGGAATGCTTCTGTCTAGATTTGATATGAAGATATTCCCGTTTACAACGAAATCTTCAAATCTATCCAAATGTCCACTTGCAGATTCAACAAAAAGTGTTTTTCAGAACTGCTCTATCAAAAGAAAGATCCACCTCTGTTAGCTGAGTTCACACATCACAAACAAGTTTATGAGAATGCTTCTGTCTAGTTTTTATTTGAAGATATTTCCTTTCTCACCATAGACCTGAAAGCTGTCCTAATGTTCACTTCCAGATACTACAGAAAGAGTGTTTCAAAACTGCTGTACGAAAGGGAATGTTCAACTCTGTGACTTGAATGCACACATCACAAAGAAGTTTCAGAGGAGGCTGCTGTCTACTTTTATACCTAATCCCGTTTCCAACGAAATCCTCCAAGCTATCCAAATATCCACTTGCAGATTCCACAGAAAGACTATTTCAAAACTGCTCTGTCAATAGAAAGGTTCAACTCTGTTAGCTGCGTGCATATATCCCAAAGAAGATTCTGAGATTGCTTCTGTCTAGTTTTTATGGGAAGATATTTCCCTTTTCACCGTAGGTGTCAAGGCGCTCCAAATGTCCACTTCCAGATACTACAAAAAGAGTGTTTCAAACCTACTCTGTGAAAGGGAATATTCAACTCTGTGACTTCAATGCACATATCACAAAGAACTTTCTGAGAATGCTTCTGTCGAGATTTTATATGAAGGTATTCCCGTTTCCAACGAAATCCTGAAATCTATCCAAATATCCCCTCGCAGATTCTACAAAAAGAGTGTTTCAAAACTGCTCTGTGAAAAGAAAGGTTCAACTCTGTTAGTTGAGTACACACATCACAAACAAGTTTCACAGAATGCTTCTTTCTAGCTTGTAGGGGAAGATATTCCCTTTATCACCATGGGCCTCAAACCGTCCAAAACGTCCACTTCCATATACTACAAAAAGAGCGTTTCAAACCTGCTCTATGAAAGGCAATGTTCAACTCTGTGACTTGAATGCAGACATCACAGAGCAGTTTCTGAGAATGCTTCTGTCTAGATTTTATAGGAAGATATTCCCGTTTCCAACGAAATCTTCACAGCTATCCAAATATGCACTTGCAGATTCTACAAAAAGAGTGTATCAAAACTGCTCTGTCAAAAAGAATGTTCTTCTCTGTTAGTTGAGTACATACGTCATAAAGGAGTTTCTGAGAATGTTTCTGTCTAGTGGTTATGGGAAGATATTTGCTTTTTCACCGTAGGCCTCAGTAGCGCTCCAAATATCCACTTGCACATACTACAAAAAGAGTCTTTCAAAGCTGCTCTCTGAAAGGGAATGTTCAACTCTATGAGTTGAATGCAAACATGACAAAGACGTTTCTGAGAATGCTTCTGTCTAGATTTGATATAAAGGTATTCCCGTTTCCAACGAAATCTTCAAATCTATCCAAATGTCCACTTGCAGATTCAACAAAAAGTGTTTTTCAGAACTGCTCTATCAAAAGAAAGATCCACCTCTGTTAGCTGAGTTCACACATCACAAACAAGTTTATGAGAATGCTTCTGTCTAGTTTTTATTTGAAGATATTTCCTTTCTCACCATAGAGCTGAACGCTGTCCTAATGTTCACTTCCAGATACTACAGAAAGAGTGTTTCAAAACTGCTGTACGAAAGGGAATGTTCAACTCTGTGACTTGAATGCACACATCACAAAGAAGTTTCGGAGGATGCTGCTGTCTACTTTTTATATGTAATCCCGTTTCCAACGAAATCCTCCAATCTATCCAAATATCCACTTGCAGATTCCACAGAAAGACTGTTTCAAATCTGCTCTGTCAACAGAAAGATTCAAGTCTGTTAGCTGCGTGCATATATCCCAAAGAAGATTCTGAGATTGCTTCTGTCTAGTTTTTATGGGAAGATATTTCCCTTTTCACCGTAGGCGTCAAGGCGCTCCAAATGTCCACTTCCAGATACTACAAAAAGAGTGTTTCAAACCTACTCTGTGAAAGGGAATATTCAACTCTGTGACTTGAATGCACATATCACAAGGAAGTTTCGGAGAATGCTTCTGTCGAGATTTTATATGAAGATATTCCCGTTTCCAACGAAATGCTGAAATCTATCCAAATATCCCCTCGCAGATTCTACAAAAAGAGTGTTTCAAAACTGCTCCTGTGAAAAGAAAGGTTCAACTACTGTTAGTTGAGTACACACATCACAAACTAGTTTCACAGAATGCTTCTTTCTAGCTTGTAGGGGAAGATATTCCCTAAATCACCATGGGCCTCAAACCGTCCGAAACGTCCACTTCCATATACTACAAAAAGAGTGTTTCAAACCTGCTCTATGAAAGGCAATGTTCAACTCTGTGACTTGAATGCAGACAACACAGAGCAGTTTCTGAGAATGCTTCTGTCTAGATTTTATAGGAAGATATTCCCGTTTCCAACGAAATCTTCACAGCTATCCAAATATCCACTTGCAGATTCTACAAAAAGAGTGTATCAAAACTGCTCTGTCAAAAGGAAGGTTCTTCTCTGTTAGGTGAGTGCATACGTCATAAAGGAGTTTCTGAGAATGTTTCTGTCTAGTGGTTATGGGAAGATGTTTGCTTTTTCACCCTAGGCCTCAGAGCACTCCAATTATCCCCTTGCACATACTACAAAAAGAGTGCTTCAAAGCTGCTCTCTGAAAGGGAATGTTCAACTCTATGAGTTGAATGCAGACATCACAAAGACGTTTCTGGGAATGCTTCTGTCTAGATTTGATATGAAGATATTCCCGTTTCCAACGAAATCTTCAAATCTATCCAAATGTCCACTTGCATATTCAACAAAAAGTGTTTTTCAGAACTGCTCTATCAAAAGAAAGATCCACCTCTGTTAGCTGAGTTCACACATCACAAACAAGTTTATGAGAATGCTTCTGTCTAGTTTTTATTTGAAGATATTTCCTTTCTCACCATAGAGCTGAAAGCTGTCCTAATGTTCACTTCCAGATACTACAGAAAGAGTGTTTCAAAACTGCTGTACGAAAGGGAATGTTCAACTGTGTGACTTGAATGCACACATCACAAAGAAGTTTCTGAGGATGCTGCTGTCTACTTTTTATATGTAATCCCGTTTCCAACGAAATCCTCCAAGCTATCCAAATATCCACTTGCAGATTTAACAGAAAGACTGTTTCAAAACTGCTCTGTCAATAGAAAAGTTCAACTCTGTTAGCTGCGTACATATATCCCAAAGAAGATTCTGAGATTGCTGCTGTCTAGTTTTTATGGGAACATATTTCCTTTTTCACCGTAGGCGTCAAGGCGCTCCAAATGTCCACTTCCAGATACTACAAAAAGAGTGTTTCAAACCTACTGTGTGAAAGGGAATATTCAACTCTTTGATTTGAATGTAGGTATCACAAAAAGTTTCTAAGAATGCTTCTGTCGCGATTTTATATGAAGATATTCCCGTTTCCAACGAAATCCTGAAATCTATCCAAATATCCCCTCGCAGATTCTACAAAAAGAGTGTTTCAAAACTGCTCTGTAAAAAGAAAGGTTCAACTCTGTTAGTTGAGTACACACATCACAAACAAGTTTCACAGAATGCTTCTTTCTAGCTTGTAGGGGAAGATATTCCCTTTATCACCATGGGCCTCAAACCGTCCGAAAAGTCCACTTCCATATACTACAAAAAGAGCGTTTCAAACCTGCTCTATGAAAGGCAATGTTCAACTCTGTGACTTGAAAGCAGACATCACAGAGCAGTTTCTGAGAATGCTTCTGTCTAGATTTTATAGGAAGATATTCCCGTTTACATCGAAATCTTCACAGGTATCCAAATATCCACTTGCAGATTCTACAAAAAGAGTGTATCAAAACTGCTCTGTCAAAAGGAAGGTTCTTCTCTGTTAGGTGAGTGCATACGTCATAAAGGAGTTTCTGAGAATGTTTCTGTCTAGTGTTTATGGGAAGATATTTGCTTTTTCACCGTAGGCCTCAGAGCACTCCAAATATCCCCTTGCACATACTACAAAAAGAGTGCTTCAAAGCTGCTCTCTGAAAGGGAATGTTCAACTCTATGAGTTGAATGCAAACATGACAAAGACGTTTCCGAGAATGCTTCTGTCTAGATTTGATATGAAGATATTCCCGTTTCCAACGAAATCTTCAAATCTATCCAAATGTCCACTTGCAGATTCAACAAAAAGTGTTTTTCAGAACTGCTCTATCAAAAGAAAGGTCCACCTCTGTTAGCTGAGTTCACACATCACAAACAAGTTTATGAGAATACTTCTGTCTAGTTTTTATTTGAAGATATTTCCTTTCTCACCATAGAGCTGAAAGCTGTCCTAATGTTCACTTCCAGATACTACAGAAAGAGTGTTTCAAAACTGCTGTACGAAAGGGAATGTTCAACTCTGTCACTTGAATGCACACATCACAAAGAAGTTTCCTGAGGATGCTGCTGTCTACTTTTTATACGTAATCCTGTTTCCAACGAAATCCTCCAAGCTATCCAAATATCCACTTGCAGATTCCCCAGAAAGACTGTTTCAAAACTGCTCTGTCAATAGAAAGGTTCAACTCTGTTAGCTGCGTGCATATATCCCAAAGAAGATTCTGAGATTGCTTCTGTCTAGTTTTTATGGGAAGATATTTCCCTTTTCACCGTAGGCATCAAGGCGCTCCAAATGTCCACTTCCAGATACTACAAAAAGACTGTTTCAAACCTACTCTGTGAAAGGGAATATTCAACTCTGTGACTTGAATGCACATATCACAAGGAAGTTTCTGAGAATGCTTCTGTCGAGTATTTTATATGAAGATATTCCCGTTTCCAACGAAATGCTGAAATCTATCCAAATATCCCCTCGCAGATTCTACAAAAAGAGTGTTTCAAAACTGCTCTGTAAAAAGAAAGGTTCAACTCTGTTAGTTGAGTACACACATCACAAATAAGTTTCACACAATGCTTCTTTCTAGCTTGTAGGGGAAGATATTCCCTTTATCACCATGGGCCTCAAACCGTCCGAAACGTCCACTTCCATATACTACAAAAAGAGCGTTTCAAACCTGCTCTATGAAAGGCAATGTTCAACTCTATGACTTGAATGCAGACATCACAGAGCAGTTTCTGAGAATGCTTCTGTCTAGATTTTATAGGAAGATATTCCCGTTTCCAACGAAATCTTCACAGCTATCCCAATATCCACTTGCAGATTCTACAAAAAGAGTATCTCAAAACTGCTCTGTCAAAAGGAAGGTTCTTCTCTGTTAGGTGAGTGCATACGTCATAAAGGAGTTTCTGAGAATGTTCCTGTCTAGTGGTTATGGGAAGATATTTGCTTTTTCCCCGTAGGCCTCAAAGCGCTCCAAATGTCCACTTGCACATACTACAAAAAGAGTGCTTCAAAGCTGCTCTCTGAAAGGGAATGTTCAACTCTATGAGTTGAATGCTAACATCACAAAGACGTTTCTGAGAATGCTTCTGTCTAGATTTAATATGAAGATATTCCCGTTTCCAACGAAATCTTCAAATCTATCCAAATATCCACTTGCAGATTCAACAAAAAGTGTTTTTCAGAACTGCTCTATCAAAAGAAAGATCCACCTCTGTTAGCTGAGATCACACTTCACAAACAAGTTTATCAGAATGCTTCTGTCTAGTTTTTATTTGAAGATATTTCCTTTCTCACCATAGACCTGAAAGCTGTCCTAATGTTCACTTCCAGATACTACAGAAAGAGTGTTTCAAAACTGCTGTACGAAAGGGAATGTTCAACTCTGTGACTTGAATGCACACATCACAAAGAAGTTTGCTGAGGATGCTGCTGTCTACTTTTTATACGTAATCCCGTTTCCAACGAAATCCTCCAAGCTATCCAAATATCCACTTGCAGATTCCACAGAAAGACTGTTTCAAAACTGCTCTGTCAATAGAAAGGTTCAACTCTGTTAGCTGCGTGCATATATCCCAAAAAAGATTCTGAGATTGCTTCTGTCTAGTTTTTATGGGAAGATATTTCCCTTTTCACCGTAGGCGTCAAGGCGCTCCAAATGTCCACTTCCAGATACTACAAAAAGAGTGTTTCAAACCTACTCTGTGAAAGGGAATATTCAACTCTGTGACTTGAATGCACATATCACAAAGAAGTTTCTGAAAATGCTTCTGTCGAGATTTTATATGAAGATACTCCCGTTTCCAACGAAATCCTGAAATCTATCCAAATATCCCCTCGCAGATTCTACAAAAAGAGTGTTTCAAAACTGCTCTGTAAAAGGAAAGGTTCAACTCTGTTAGTTGAGTACACACATCACAAACAAGTTTCACAGAATGCTTCTTTCTAGCTTGCAGGGGAAGATATTCCCTTTATCACCATGGGCCTCAAACCGTCCGAAACGTCTACTTCCATATACTACAAAAAGAGCGTTTCAAACCTGCTCTATGAAAGGCAATGTTCAACTCTGTGACTTGAATGCAGACATCACAGATCAGTTTCTGAGAATGCTTCTGTCTAGATTTTATAGGAAGATATTCCCGTTTCCAACGAAATCTTCACAGCTATCCAAATATGCACTTGCAGATTCTACAAAAAGAGTGTATCAAAACTGCTCAGTCAAAAAGAAGGTTCTTCTCTGTTAGTTGAGTACATACGTCATAAAGGAGTTTCTGAGAATGTTTTCTGTCTAGTGGTTATGGGAAGATATTTGCTTTTTCCCCGTAGGCCTCAGGGCGCTCCAAATATCCACTTGCACATGCTACAAAAAGAGTGCTTCAAAGCTGCTCTCTGAAACGGAATGTTCAACTCTATGAGTTGAATGCAAACATCGCAAAGACGTTTCTGAGAATGCTTCTGTCTAGATTTGATATGAAGATATTCCCGTTTCCAACGAAATCTTCAAATCTATCCAAATGTCCTCTTGCAGATTCAACAAAAAGTGTTTTTCAGAACTGCTCTATCAAAAGAAAGATCCACCTCTGTTAGCTGAGTTCACACATCACAAACAAGTTTATGAGAGTGCTTCTGTCTAGTTTTGATTTGAAGATATTTCCTTTCTCACCATAGAGCTGAAAGCTGTCCTAATGTTCACTTCCAGATACTACAGAAAGAGTGTTTCAAAACTGCTGTACGAAAGGGAATGTTCAACTCTGTGACTTGAATGCACACATCACAAAGAAGTTTCTGAGGATGCTGCTGTGTACTTTTGATACGTAATCCCGTTTCCAACGAAATCCTCCAAGCTATCGAAATATCCACTTGCAGATTCCACAGAACGACTGTTTCAAAACTGCTCTGTAAATAGAAATGTTCAACTCTGTTAGCTGCGTGCATATATCCCAAAGAAGATTCTGAGATTGCTTCTGTCTAGTTTTTATGGGAAGATATTTCCCTTTTCACCGTAGGTGTCAAGGCGCTCCAAATGTCCAATTCCAGATACTACAAAAAGAGTGTTTCAAACCTACTCTGTGAAAGGGAATATTCAACTCTGTGACTTGAATGCACATATCACAAAGAAGTTTCTGACAATGCTTCTGTCGAGATTTTATATGAAGATATTCCCGTTTCCAACGAAATCCTGAAATCTATCCAAATATCCCCTCGCAGATTCTACAAAAAGAGTGTTTCAAAACTGCTCTGTGAAAAGAAAAGTTCAACTCTGTTAGTTGAGTACACACATCACAAACAAGTTTCACAGAATGCTTCTTTCTAGCTTGTAGGGGAAGATATTCCCTTTATCACCATGGGCCTCAAACCGTCCGAAACGTCTACTTCCATATACTACAAAAAGAGCGTTTCAAACCTGCTCTATGAAAAGCAATGTTCAACTCTGTGACTTGAATGCAGATATCACAGAGCAGTTTCTGAGAATGCTTCTGTCTAGATTTTATAGGAAGATATTCCCGTTTCCAACGAAATCTTCACAGCTATCCAAATATCCACTTGCAGATTCTACAAAAAGAGTGTATCAAAACTGCTCTGTCAAAAGGAAGGTTCTTCTCTTATAGGTGAGTGCATAGGTCATAAAGGAGTTTCTGAGAATGTTTCTGTCTAGTGGTTATGGGAAGATATTTGCTTTTTCACCGTAGGCCTCAGGGCGCTCCAAATATCCACTTGCACATACTACAAAAAGAGTGCCTCAAAGCTGCTCTCTGAAACGGAATGTTCAACTCTATGAGTTGAATGCAAACATCGCAAAGACGTTTCTGAGAATGCTTCTGTCTAGATTTGATATGAAGATATTCCCGTTTCCAACGAAATCTTCAAATCTATCCAAATGTCCACTTGCAGATTCAACAAAAAGTGTTTTTCAGAACTGCTCTATCAAAAGAAAGATCCACCTCTGTTAGCTGAGTTCACACATCACAAAACAAGTTTATGAGAATGCTTCTGTCTAGTTTTTATTTGAAGATATTTCCTTTCTCACCATAGACCTGAAAGCTGTCCTAGTGTTCACTTCCAGTTACTACAGAAAGAGTGTTTCAAAACTGCTGTACGAAAGGGAATGTTCAACTCTGTGACTTGAATGCACACATCACAAAGAAGTTTCTGAGGATGCTGCTGTCTACTTTTTATACTTAATCCCGTTTCCAACGAAATCCTCCAAGCTGTCCAAATATCCACTTGCAGATTCCACAGAAAGACTGTTTCAAAACTGCTCTGTCAATAGAAAGGTTCAACTCTGTTAGCTGCGTGCATATATCCCAAAGAAGATTCTGAGATTGCTTCTGTCTAGTTTTTATGGGAAGATATTTCCCTTTTCACCGTAGGCGTCCAGGCGCTCCAAATGTCCACTTCCAGATACTACAAAAAGAGTGTTTCAAACCTACTCTATGAAAGGGAATATTCAACTCTGTGACTTGAATGCACATATCACAAGGAAGTTTCTGAGAATGCTTCTGTCGAGATTTTATATGAAGATATTCTCGTTTACAACGAAATCCTGAAATCTATCCAAATATCCCCTCGCAGATTCTACAAAAAGAGTGTTTCAAAACTGCTCTGTAAAAAGAAAGGTTCAACTCTGTTAGTTGAGTACACACATCACAAACAAGTTTCACACAATGCTTCTTTCTAGCTTGTAGGGGAAGATATTCCCTTTATCACCATGGGTCTCAAACCGTCCGAAACGTCTACTTCCATATACTACAAAAAGAGCGTTTCAAACCTGCTCTATGAAAGGCAATGTTCAACTCTGTGACTTGAATGCAGACATCACAGAGCAGTTTCTGAGAATGCTTCTGTCTAGATTTTATAGGAAGATATTCCCGTTTCCAACGAAATCTTCACAGCTATCCAAATATCCACTTGCAGATTCTACAAAAAGAGTGTATCAAAACTGCTCTGTCAAAAGGAAGGTTCTTTTCTGTTAGGTGAGTGCATACGTCATAAAGGAGTTTCTGAGAAGGTTTCTGTCTAGTGGTTATGGGAAGATATTTGCTTTTTCACCGTAGGCCTCGGAGCGCTCCAAATATCCACTTGCACATACTACAAAAAGAGTGTTTCAAACCTGCTCTCTGAAACGGAATGTTCAACTCTATGAGTTGAATGCAAACATCACAAAGACGTTTCTGAGAATGCTTCTGTCTAGATTTGATATGAAGATATTCCCGTTTCCAACGAAATCTTCAAATCTATCCAAATGTCCACTTGCAGATTCAAAAAAAAGTGTTTTTCAGAACTGCTCTATCAAAAGAAAGATCCACCTCTGTTAGCTGAGTTCACACATCACAAACAAGTTTATGAGAATGCTTCTGTCTAGTTTTTATTTGAAGATATTTCCTTTCTCACCATAGAGCTGAAAGCTGTCCTAATGTTCACTTCCAGATACTACAGAAAGAGTGTTTCAAAACTGCTGTACGAAAGGGAATGTTCAACTCTGTGACTTGAATGCACACATCACAAAGAAGTTTCTGAGTATGCTGCTGTCTACTTTTTATACTTAATCCCGTTTCCAACGAAATCCTCCAAGCTATCCAAATATCCACTTGCAGATTCCACAGAAAGACTGTTTCAAAACTGCTCTGTCAATAGAAAGGTTCAACTCTGTTAGCTGCGTGCATATATCCTAAAGAAGATTCTGAGATTGCTTCTGTCTACTTTTTATGAGAAGATATTTCCCTTTTCAACGTAGGCGTCAAGGCGCTCCAAATGTCCACTTCCAGATACTACAAAAAGAGTGTTTCAAACCTACTCTGTGAAAGGGAATATTCAACTCTGTGACTTGAATGCACATATCACAAAGAAGCTTCTGAGAATGCTTCTGTCGAGATTTTATATGAAGATATTCCCGTTTCCAACGAAATCCTGAAATGTATCCAAATATCCCCTCGCAGATTCTACAAAAAGAGTGTTTCAAAACTGCTCTGTAAAAAGAAAGGTTCAACTCTGTTAGTTGAGTACGCACATCACAAACAAGTTTCACAGAATGCTTCTTTCTAGCTTGTAGGGGAAGATATTCCCTTTATCACCATGGGCCTCAAACCGTCCGAAACATCCAGTTCCATATACTACAAAAAGAGCGTTTCAAACCTGCTCTAGGAAAGGCAATGTTCAACTCTGTGACTTGAATGCAGACATCACAGAGCAGTTTCTGAGAATGCTTCTGTCTAGATTTTATAGGAAGATATTCCCGTTTCCAACGAAATCTTCACAGCTATCCAAATATCCACTTGCAGATTCTGCAAAAAGAGTGTATCAAAAGTGCTCAGTCAAAAGGAAGGTTCTTCTCTGTTAGGTGAGTGCATACGTCATAAAGGAGTTTCTGAGAATGTTTCTGTCTAGTGGTTATGGGAAGGATATTTGCTTTTTCACCGTAGGCCTCAGAGCGCTCCAAATATCCACTTGCACATACTACAAAAAGAGTGCCTCAAAGCTGCTCTCTGAAACGGAATGTTCAACTCTATGAGTTGAATGCAAACATCGCAAAGACGTTTCTGAGAATGCTTCTGTCTAGCATTTGATATGAAGATATTCCCGTTTCCAACGAAATCTTCAAATCTATCCAAATGTCCACTTGCAGATTCAACAAAAAGTGTTTTTCAGAACTGCTCTATCAAAAGAAAGATCCACCTCTGTTAGCTGAGTTCACACATCACAAACAAATTTATGAGAATGCTTCTCTCAAGTTTTTATTTGAAGATATTTCCTTTCTCACCATAGACCTGAAAGCTGTCCTAATGTTCACTTCCAGATACTACAGAAAGAGTGTTTCAAAACTGCTGTACGAAAGGGAATGTTCAACTCTGTGACTTGAATGCACACATCACAAAGAAGTTTCTGAGGATGCTGCTGTCTACTTTTTATACGTAATCCCGTTTCCAAAGATATCCTCCAAGCTATCCAAATATCCACTTGCAGATTCCACAGTAAGACTGTTTCAAAACTGCTCTGTCAATAGAAAGGTTCAACTCTGTTAGCTGCATGCATATATCCCAAAGAAGATTCTGAGATTGCTTCTGTCTAGTTTTATGGGAAGATATTTCCCTTTTCACCGTGGGCGTCAAGGCGCTCCAAATGACCACTTCCAGATACTACAAAAAGAGTGTTTCAAACCTACTCTGTGAAAGGGAATATTCAACTCTGTGACTTGAATGCACATATCACAAGGAAGTTTCTGAGAATGCTTCTGTCGAGATTTTATATGAAGATCTTCCCGTTTCCAACGAAATCCTGAAATCTATCCAAATATCCCCTCGCAGATTCTACAAAAAGAGTGTTTCAAAACTGCTCTGTAAAAAGAAAGGTTCAACTCTGTTAGTTGAGTACACACATCACAAACAAGTTTCACAGAATGCTTCTTTCTAGCTTGTAGGGGAAGATATTCCCTTTATCACCATGGGCCTCAAACCGTCCGAAACGTCCACTTCCATATACTACAAAAAGAGCGCTTCAAACCTGCTCTATGAAAGACAATGTTCAACTCTGTGACTTGAATGCAGACATCACAGAGCAGTTTCTGAGAATGCTTCTGTCTAGATTTTATAGGAAGATATTCCCGTTTCCAACGAAATCTTCACAGCTATCCAAATATAAACTTGCAGATTCTACAAAAAGAGTGTATCAAAACTGCTCTGTCAAAAGGAAGGTTCTTCTCTGTTAGGTGAGTGCATACGTCATAAAGGAGTTTCTGAGAATGTTTCTGTCTAGTGGTTATGGGAAGATATTTGCTTTTTCACCTTAGGCCTCAGAGCGCTCAAAATATCCCCTTGCACATACTACAAAAAGAGTGCTTCAAAGCTGCTCTCTGAAACGGAATGTTCAACTCTATGAGTTGAATGCCAACATCACAAAGACGTTTCTGAGAATGCTTCTGTCTAGATTTGATATGAAGATATTCCCGTTTCCAACGAAATCTTCAAATCTATCCAAATGTCCACTTGCAGATTCAACAAAGTGTTTTTCAGAATTGCTCTATCAAAAGAAAGATCCACCTCTGTTAGCTGAGTTCACACTTCACAAACAAGTTTATCAGAATGCTTCTGTCTAGTTTTTATTTGAAGATATATCCTTTCTCACGATAGACCTGAAAGCTGTCCTAAAGTTCACTTCCAGATACTACAGAAAGAGTGTTTCAAAACTGCTGTACGAAAGGGAATGTTCAACTCTGTGACTTGAATGCACACATTACAAGGATGTTTCTGAGGATGCTGCTGTCTACTTTTTATACGTAATCCCGTTTCCAACGAAATCCTCCAAGCTATCCAAATATCCACTTGCAGATTCCACAGAAAGACTGTTTCAATACTGCTCTGTCAATAGAAAGGTTCAACTCTGTTAGCTGCGTGCATATATCCCAAAGAAGATTCTGAGATTGCTTCTGTCTAGTTTTTATGGGAAGATATTTCCCTTTTCACCGTAGGCGTCAAGGCGCTCCAAATGTCCACTTCCAGATACAACAAAAAGAGTGTTTCAAACGTACTCTGTGAAAGGGAATATTCAACTCTGTGACTTGAATGCACATATCACAAAGAAGTTTCTGAAAATGCTTCTGTCGAGATTTTATATGAAGATATTCCCGTTTCCAACGAAATCCTGAAATCTATCCAAATATCCCCTCGCAGATTCTACAGAAAGAGTGTTTCAAAACTGCTCTGTAAAAAGAAAGGTTCAACTCTGTTACTTGAGTACACACATCACAAACAAGTTTCACAGAATGCTTCTTTCTAGCTTGTAGGGGAAGATATTCCCTTTATCACCATGGGCCTCAAACCGTCCGAAACATCCACTTCCATATACTACAAAAAGAGCGTTTCAAACCTGCTCTATGAAAGGCAATGTTCAACTCTGTGACTTGAATACAGACATCACAGAGCAGTTTCTGAGAATGCTTCTGTCTAGATATTATAGGAGGATATTCCCGTTTCCAACGAAATCTTCACAGCTATCCAAATATCCACTTGCAGATTCTACAAAAAGAGTGTATCAAAACTGCTCTGTCAAAAGGAAGGTTCTTCTCTGTTAGGTGAGTGCATACGTCATAAAGGAGTTTCTGAGAATGTTTCTGTCTAGTGGTTATGGGAAGATATTTGCTTTTTCACCGTGGGCCTCAGAGCGCTCAAAATATCCACTTGCACATACTACAAAAAGAGTGCTTCAAAGCTGCTCTCTGAAACGGAATGTTCAACTCTATGAGTTGAATGCAAACATCACAAAGACGTTTCTGAGAATGCTTCTGTCTAGATTTGATATGAAGATATTCCCGTTTCCAACGAAATCTTCAAATCTATCCAGATGTCCACTTGCAGATTCAACAAAAAGTGTTTTTCAGAACTGCTCTATCAAAAGAAAGATCCACCTCTGTTAGCTGAGTTCACACATCACAAACAAGTTTATGAGAATGCTTCTGTCTAGTTTTTATTTGAAGATATTTCCTTTCTCACCATAGACCTGAAAGCTGTCCTAATGTTCACTTCCAGATACTACAGAAAGAGTGTTTCAAAACTGCTGTACGAAAGGGAATGTTCAACTCTGGGACTTGAATGCACACATCACAAAGAAGTTTCTGAGGATGCGGCTGTCTACTTTTTATACTTAATCCCGTTTCCAACGAAATCCTCCAAGCTATCCAAATATCCACTTGCAGATTCCACAGAAAGACTGTTTCAAAACTGCTCTGTCAATAGAAAGGTTCAACTCTGTTAGCTGCGTGCATGTATCCCAAAGAAGATTCTGAGATTGCTTCTGTCTAGTTTTTATGGGAAGATATTTCCCTTTTCACCGTAGGTGTCAAGGCACTCCAAATGTCCACTTCCAGATACTACAAAAAGAGTGTTTCAAACCTACTCTGTGAAAGAGAATATTCAACTCTGTGACTTGAATGCACATATCACAAAGAAGTTTCTGAGAATGCTTCTGTCGAGATTTTGTATGAAGATATTCCCGTTTCCAACGAAATCCTGAAATCTATCCAAATATCCCCTCGCAAATTCTACAAAAAGAGTGTTTCAAAACTGCTCTGTGAAAAGAAAGGTTCAACTCTGTTAGTTGAGTACACACATCACAAACAAGTTTCACAGAATGCTTCTTTCTAGCTTGTAGGGGAAGATATTCCCTTTATCACCATGGGCCTCCAACCGTCCGAAACATCCACTTCCATATACTACAAAAAGAGCGTTTCAAACCTGCTCTATGAAAGGCAATGTTCAACTCTGTGACTTGAATACAGACATCACAGAGCAGTTTCTGAGAATGCTTCTGTGTAGATTTTATAGGAAGATATTTCCGTTTCCAACGAAACCTTCACAGCTATCCAAATATCCACTTGCAGATTCTACAAAAAGAGTGTATCAAAACTGCTCTGTCAAAAGGAAGATTCTTCTCTGTTAGTTGAGTACATACGTCATAAAGGAGTTTCTGAGAATGTTTCTGTCTACTGGTTACGGGAAGATATTTGCTTTTGCACCTTAGGCCTCAGAGCGCTCCAAATATCCACTTGCACATACTACAAAAAGAGTGCTTCAAAGCTGCTCTCTGAAACGGAATGTTCAACTCTATGAGTTGAATGCCAACATCACAAAGACGTTTCTGAGAATGCTTCTGTCTAGATTTGATATGAAGATATTCCCGTTTCCAACGTAATCTTCAAATCTATCCAAATGTCCCCTTGCAGATTCAACAAAGTGTTTTTCAAAACTGCTGTACCAAAGAAAGATCCACCTCTGTTAGCTGAGTTCACACATCACAAACAAGTTTATCAGAATGCTTCTGTCTAGTTTTTATTTGAAGATATTTCCTTTCTCACCATAGAGCTGAAAGCTGTCCTAATGTTCACTTCCAGATACTACAGAAAGAGTGTTTCAAAACTGCTGTACGAAAGGGAATGTTCAACTCTGGGACTTGAATGCACACATCACAAAGAAGTTTCGGAGGATGCTGCTGTCTACTTTTTATACGTAATCCCGTTTCCAACGAAATCCTCCAAGCTATCCAAATATCCAATTGCAGATTCCACAGAAAGACTGTTTCAAAACTGCTCTGTCAATAGAAAGGTTCAACTCTGTTAGCTGCGTGCATATATCCCAAAGAAGATTCTGAGATTGCTTCTGTCTAGTTTTTATGGGAAGATATTTCCCTTTTTACCGTAGGCGTCAAGGCGCTCCAAATGTCCACTTCCAGATACTACAAAAAGAGTTTTTCAAACCTACTCGGTGAAAGGGAATATTCAACTCTGTGACTTGAATGCAGATATCACAAAGAAGTTTCTGAGAATGCTTCTGTCGAGATTTTATATGAAGATATTCCCGTTTCCAACGAAATCCTGAAATCTATCCAAATATCCGCTCGCAGATTCTACAAAAAGAGTGTTTCAAAACTGCTCTGTGAAAAGAAAGGTTCAACTCTGTTAGTTGAGTACACACATCAGAAACAAGTTTCACAGAATGCTTCTTTCTAGCTAGTAGGGGAAGATATTCCCTTTATCACCATGGGCCTTAAACCGTCCGAAACGTCCACTTCCATATACTACAAAAAGAGCGTTTCAAACCTGCTCTATGAAAGGCAATGTTCAACTCTGTGACTTGAATGCAGACATCACAGAGCAGTTTCTGAGAATGCTTCTGTCTAGATTTTATAGGAAGATATTCCCGTTTCCAATGAAATCTTCACAGCTATCCAAATATCCACTTGCAGATTCTACAAAAAGAGTGTATCAAAACTGCTCTGTCAAAAGGAAGGTTCTTCTCTGTTAGGTGAGTGCGTACGTCATAAAGGAGTTTCTGAGAATGTTTCTGTCTAGTGGTTATGGGAAGATATTTGCTTTTTCACCTTAGGCCTCAGAGCGCTCCAAATATCCCCTTGCACATACTACAAAAAGAGTGCTTCAAAGCTGCTCTCTGAAAGGGAATGTTCAACTCTATGAGTTGAATGCAAACATCACAAAGACGTTTCTGAGAATGCTTCTGTCTAGATTTGATATGAAGATATTCCCGTTTCCAATGAAATCTTCAAATCTATCCGAATGTCCACTTGCAGATTCAACAAAAAGTGTTTTTCAGAACTGCTCTATCAAAAGAAAGATCCACCTCTGTTAGCTGAGTTCACACATCACAAACAAGTTTATGAGAATGCTTCTGTCTAGTTTTTATTTGAAGATATTTCCTTTCTCACCATAGACCTGAAAGCTGTCCTAATGTTCACTTCCAGATACTACAGAAAGAGTGTTTCAAAACTGCTGTACGAAAGGGAATGTTCAACTCTGTGACTTGAATGCACACATCCCAAAGAAGTTTCTGAGGATGCTGCTGTCTACTTTTTATACGTAATCCCGTTTCCAACGAAATCCTCCAAGCTATCCCAATATCCACTTGCAGATTCCACAGAAAGACTGTTTCTAAACTGCTGTGTCAATAGAAAGGTTCAACTCTGTTAGCTGCGTGCATATATCCCAAAGAAGATTCTGAGATTGCTTCTGTCTAGTTTTTATGGGAAGATATTTCCCTTTTCACCGTAGGTGTCAAGGCGCTCCAAATGTCCACTTCCAGATACTATAAAAAGAGTGTTTCAAACCTACTCTGTGAAAGGGAATATTCAACTCTGTGACTTGAATGCAGATATCACAAAGAAGTTTCTGAGAATGCTTCTGTCGAGATTTTATATGAAGATATTCCCGTTTCCAACGAAATCCTGAAATCTATCCAAATATCCCCTCGCAGATTCTACAAAAATAGTGTTTCAAAACTACTCTGTAAAAAGAAAGGTTCAACACTGTTAGTTGAGTACACACATCACAAACAAGTTTCACAGAATGCTTCTTTCTAGCTTGTAGGGGAAGATATTCCCTTTATCACCATGGGCCTCAAACCGTCCGAAACCTCCAGTTACATATACTACAAAAAGAGCGTTTCAAACCTGCTCTATGAAAGGCAATGTTCAACTCTGTGACTTGAATGCAGACATCACAGAGCTGTTTCTGAGAATACTTCTGTCTAGATTTTATAGGAAGATATTCCCGTTTCCAACGAAATCTTCACAGCTATCCAAATATCCACTTGCAGATTCTACAAAAAGAGTGTATCAAAACTGCTCTGTCAAAAGGAAGGTTCTTCTCTGTTAGTTGAGTATATACGTCATAAAGGAGTTTCTGAGAATGTTTCTGTCTAGTGGTTATGGGAAGATATTTGCTTTTTCACCGTAGGCCTCAGAGCGCTCCAAATATCCACTTGCACATACTACAAAAAGAGTGCTTCAAAGCTGGTCTCTGAAACGGAACGTTCAACTCTATGAGTTGAATGCAAACATCACAAAGACGTTTCTGAGAATGCTTCTGTCTAGATTTGATATGAAGATATTCCCGTTTCCAACGAAATCTTCAAATCTATCCAAATGTCCACTTGCAGATTCAACAAAAAGTGTTTTTCAGAACTGCTCTATCAAAAGAAAGATCCACCTCTGTTAGCTGAGTTTACACATCACAAACAAGTTTATGAGAATGCTTCTGTCTAGTTTTTATTTGAAGATATTTCCTTTCTCACCATAGACCTGAAAGCTGTCCAAATGTTCACTTCCAGATGCTACAGAAAGAGTGTTTCAAAACTGTTGTACGAAAGGGAATGTTCAACTCTGTGACTTGAATGCACACATCACAAAGAAGTTTCTGAGGATGCTGCTGTCTAATTTTTATACGTAATCCCGTTTACAACGAAATCCTCCAAGCTATCCAAATATGCACTTGCAGATTCCACAGAAAGACTGTTTCAAAACTGCTCTGTCAATAGAAAGGTTCAACTCTGTTAGCTGCGTGCATATATCCCAAAGAAGATTCTGAGATTGCTTCTGTCTAGTTTTTATGGGAAGATATTTCCCTTTTCACCGTAGGTGTCAAGGCGCTCAAAATGTCCACTTCCAGATACTACAAAAAGAGTGTTTCAAACCTACTCTGTGAAAGGGAATATTCAACTCTGTGACTTGAATGCAGATATCACAAAGAAGTTTCTGAGAATGCTTCTGTCGAGATTTTATATGAAGATATTCCCGTTTCCAACGAAATCCTGAAATCTATCCAAATATCCCCACGCAGATTCTACAAAAAGAGTGTTTCAAAACTGCTCTGTAAAAAGAAAGGTTCAACTCTGTTAGATGAGTACACACATCACAAACAAGTTTCACAGAATGCTTCTTTCTAGCTTGTATGGGAAGATATTCCCTTTATCACCATGGGCCTCAAACCGTCCGAAACGTCCACTTCCATATACTACAAAAAGAGTGTTTCAAACCTGCTCTATGAACGGCAATGTTCAACTCTGTGACTTGAATCCAGACATCACAGAGCAGTTTCTGAGAATGCTTCTGTCTAGATTTTATAGGAAGATATTCCCGTTTCCAACGAAATCTTCACAGCTATCCAAATATCCACTTGCAGATTCTACAAAAAGAGTGTATCAAAACTGCTCTGTCAAAAGGAAGGTTCTTCTCTGTTAGTTGAGTACATATGTCATAAAGGAGTTTCTGAGAATGTTTCTGTCTAGTGGTTATGGGAAGATATTTGCTTTTTCACCTTAGGCCTCAGAGCGCTCCATATATCCCCTTGCACATACTACAAAAAGAGTGCTTCAAAGCTGCTCTCTGAAAGGGAATGTTCAACTCTATGAGTTGAATGCAAACATCACAAAGACGTTTCTGAGAATGCTTCTGTCTAGGTTTGATATGAAGATATTCCCGTTTCCAACGAAATCTTCAAATCTATCCAAATGTCCACTTGCGGATTCAACAAAAAGTGTTTTTCAGAACTGCTCTATCAAAAGAAAGATCCACCTCTCTTAGCTGAGTTCACACATCACAAACAAGTTTATGAGAATGCTTCTGTCTAGTTTTTATTTGAAGATATTTCCTTTCTCACCATAGAGCTGAAAGCTGTCCTAATGTTCACTTCCAGATACTACAGAAAGAGTGTTTCAAAACTGCTGTACGAAAGGGAATGCTCAACTCTGTGACTTGAATGCACACATCACAAAGAAGTTTCTGAGGATGCTGCTGTCTACTTTTTATACGTAATCCCGGTTTCCAAAGAAATCCTCCAAGCTATCCAAATATCCACTTGCAGATTCCACAGAAGGACTGTTTCTAAACTGCTCTGTCAATAGAAAGGTTCAACTCTGTTAGCTGCGTGCATATATCCCAAAGAAGATTCTGAGATTGCTTCTGACTAGTTTTTATTGGAAGATATTTCCTTTTTCACCATAGGCATCAAAGCGCTCCAAATTTCCACTTCCAGATACTACAAAAAAAGAGTGTTTCAAACCTACTGTGTGGAAGGGAATATTTAACTCGGTGACTTCAATGCACATATCACAGAGAAGTTTCTGAGAATGCTTCTGTCGAGATTTTATATGAAGATATTCCCCTTTCCAACGAAATCCTGAAATCTATCCAAATATGCCCTCGCAGATTCTACAAAAAGAGTGTTTCAAAACTGCTCTGTAAAAAGAAAGGTTCAACTCCTGTGAGTTGAGTACACACATCACAAACAAGTTTCACAGAATGCTTCTTTCTAGCTTGTAGGGGAAGATATTCCCTTTATCACCATGGGCCTCAAACCGTCCGAAAAGTCCACTTCCATATACTACAAAAAGAGCGTTTCAAACCTGCTCTATGAAAGGCAATGTTCAACTCTGTGACTTGAATGCAGACATCACAGAGCAGTTTCTGAGAATGCTTCTGTCTAGATTTTATAGGAAGATATTCCCGTTTCCAACGAAATCTTCACAGCTATCCAAATATCCACTTGCAGATTCTACAAAAAGATTGTATCAAAACTGCTCTGTCAAAAGGAAGGTTCTTTTCTGTTAGGTGAGTGCATACGTCATAAAGGAGTTTCTGAGAATGTTTCTGTCTAGTGGTTATGGGAAGATATTTGCTTTATCACCGTAGGCCTCAGAGCGCTCCAAATATCCGCTTGCACATACTACAAAAAGAGTGCTTCAAAGCTGCTCTCTGAAACGGAATGTTCAACTCTATGAGTTGAATGCAAACATCACAAAGACGTTTCTGAGATTGCTTCTATCTAGATTTGATATGAAGAAATTCCCGTTTCCAACGAAATCTTCAAATCTATACAAATGTCCACTTGCAGATTCAACAAAGTGTTTTTCAGAACTGCTCTATCAAAAGAAAGATCCACCTCTGTTAGCTGAGATCACACTTCACAAACAAGTTTATCAGAATGCTTCTGTCTAGTTTTTATTTGAAGATATTTCCTTTCTCACCATAGACCTGAAAGCTGTCCTAATGTTCACTTCCAGATGCTACAGAAAGAGTCTTTCAAAACTGGTGTACAAAAGGGAATGTTCAAATCTGTGACTTGAATGCACACATCACAAAGAAGTTTCTGAGGATGCTGCTGTCTACTTTTTATGCGTAATCCCGTTTCCAACGAAATCCTCCAAGCTATCCAAATATCCACTTGCAGATTCCACAGAAAGACTGTTTCAAAACTGCTCTGTCAATAGAAAGGTGCAAATCTGTTAGCTGCGTGCATATATCCCAAAGAAGATTCTGAGATTGCTTCTGTCTAGTTTTTATGAGAAGATATTTCCCTTTTCACCGTAGGTGTCAAGGCGATCCAAATGTCCACTTCCAGATACTACAAAAGGAGTGTTTCAAACCTACTCTGTGAAAGGGAATATTCAACTCTGTGACTTGAATGCAGATATCACAAAGAAGTTTCTGAGAATGCTTCTGTCGAGATTTTATATGAAGATATTCCCGTTTCCAACGAAATCCTGAAATCTATCCAAATATCCCCTCGCAGATTCTACAAAAAGAGTGTTTCAAAACTGCTCTGTAAAAAGAAAGGTTCAACTCTGTTAGTTGAGTACACACATCACAAACAAGTTTCACAGAATTCTTCTTTCTAGCTTGTAGGGGAAGATATTCCCTTTATCACCATGGGCCTCAAACCCTCCGAAACGTCCACTTCCATATACTACAAAAAGAGCGTTTCAAACCTGCTCTATGAAAGGCAATGTTCAACTCTGTGACTTGAATGCAGACATCACAGAGCAGTTTCTGAGAATGCTTCTGTCTAGGTTTTATAGGAAGATATTCCCGTTTCCAACGAAATCTTCACAGCTATCCAAATATCCACTTGCAGACAGTACAAAAAGAGTGTATCAAAAATGCTCCGTCAAAAGGAAAGTTCTTCTCTGTCAGTTGAGTACATACGTCATAAAGGAGTTTTTGAGAATGTTTCTGTCTAGTGGTTATGGGAAGATATTTGCTTTTTCACCGTAGGCCTCAGAGCGCTCCAAATATCCGCTTGCACATACTACAAAAAGAGTGCTTCAAAGCTGCTCTCTGAAACGGAATGTTCAACTCTAAGAGTTGAATGCAAACATGACAAAGACGTTTCTGACAATGCTTCTGTCTAGATTTGATATGAAGATATTCCCGTTTCCAACGAAATCTTCAAATCTATCCAAATGTCCACTTGCAGATTCAACAAAAAGTGTTTTTCAGAACTGCTCTATCAAAAGAAAGATCCACGTGCGTTAGCTGAGTTCACACATCACAAACAAGTTTATGAGAATGCTTCTGTCTAGTTTTTATTTGAAGATATTTCCTTTCTGACCATAGCCCTGAAAGCTGTACTAATGTTCACTTCCAGATACTACAGAAAGAGTGTTTCAAAACTGCTGTACGAAAGGGAATGTTCAACTCTGTGACTTGAATGCACACATCACAAAGAAGTTTCTGAGGATGCTGCTGTCTACTTTTTATACGTAATCCCGTTTCCAACGAAACCCTCCAAGCTATCCAAATATCCACTTGCAGATTCCACAGAAAGACTGTTTCAAAACTGCTCTGTCAATAGAAAGGTTCAACTCTGTTAGCTGCGTGCATATATCCCAAAGAAGATTCTGAGATTGCTTCTGTCTAGTTTTTATGGGAAGATATTTCCCTTTTCACCGTAGGCGTCAAGGCGCTCCAAATGTCCACTTCCAGATACTACAAAAAGAGTGTTACAAACCTACTCTGTGAAAGGGAATATTCAACTCTGTGACTTGAAGGCAGATATCACAAAGAAGTTTCTGAGAATGCTTCTGTCGAGATTTTATATGAAGTTATTCCCGTTTCCAACGAAATCCTGAAACCTATGCAAATATCCCCTCGCAGATTCTACAAAAAGAGTTTTCCAAAACAGCTCTGTAAAAAGAAAGGTTCACCGCTGTTAGTTGAATACACACATCACAAACTAGTTTCTCAGAATGCTTCTTTCTAGCTTGTATGGGAAGATATTCCCTTTATGACCATGGGCCTCAAACCGTCCGAAACGTCCACTTTTATATACTACAAAAAGAGCGTTTCAAACCTGCTCTATGAAAGGCAATGTTCAACTCTGTGACTTGAATGCAGACATCACAGAGCAGTTTCTGAGAATGCTTCTGTCTAGATTTTATAGGAATATATTCCCGTTTCCAACGAAATCTTCACAGCTATCCAAATATCCACTTGCAGATTCTACAAAAAGAGTGTATCAAAACTGCTCTGTCAAAAGGAAGGTTCTTCTCTGTTAGGTGAGTGCATACGTCATAAAGGAGTTTCTGAGAATGTTTCTGTCTAGTGGTTATGGGAAGATATTTGCTTTTTCACCGTAGGCCTCAGAGCGCTCCAAATATCCACTTGCACATACTACAAAAAGAGTGCTTCAAAGCTGGTCTCTGAAACGGAATGTTCAACTCTATGAGTTGAATGCAAACATCGCAAAGACGTTTCTGAGAATGCTTCTGTCTAGATTTGATATGAAGATATTCCCGTTTCCAACGAAATCTTCATATCTATCCAAATGTCCACTTGCAGATTCAACAAAAAGTGTTTTTCAGAACTGCTCTATCAAAAGAAAGATCCACCTCTGTTAGCTGAGTTCACACATCACAAAGAAGTTTATGAGAATGCTTCTGTCTAGTTTTTATTTGAAGATATTTCCTTTCTCAACATAGACCTGAAAGCTGTCCTAATGTTCACTTCCAGATGCTACAGAAAGAGTGTTTCAAAACTGCTGTACGAAAGGGAATGTTCAACTCTGTGACTTGAATGCACACATCACAAAGAAGTTTCTGAGGATGCTGCTGTCTACTTTTTATACGTAATCCCGTTTCCAACGAAATCCTCCAAGCTATCGAAATATCCACTTGCAGATTCCACAGAAAGACTGTTTCAAAACTGCTCTGTCAATAGAAAGGTTCAACTCTGTTAGCTGCGTGCATATATCCCAAAGAAGATTCTGAGATTGCTTCTGTCTAGTTTTTATGGGAAGATATTTCCCTTTTCACCGTAGGCGTCAAGGTGCTCCAAATGTCCACTTCCAGATACTACAAAAAGAGTGTTTCAAACCTACTCTGTGAAAGGGAATATTCAACTCTGTGACTTGAATGCACATATCACAAGGAAGTTTCTGAGAATGCTTCTGTCGAGATTTTATATGAAGATATTCCCGTTTCCAACGAAATCCTGAAATGTATCCAAATATCCCCTCGCAGATTCTACAAAAAGAGTGTTTCAAAACTGCTCTGTAAAAAGAAAGGTTCAACTCTGTTAGTTGAGTAGACACATCACAAACAAGTTTCACAGAATGCTTCTTTCTAGCTTGTAGGGGAAGATATTCCCTTTATCACCATGGGCCTCCAACCGTCCGAAACATCCACTTCCATATACTACAAAAAGAGCGTTTCAAACCTGCTCTATGAAAGGCAATGTTCAACTCTGTGACTTGAATGCAGACATCACAGAGCGGTTTCTGAGAATGCTTCTGTCTAGATTTTATAGGAAGATATTCCCGTTTCCAACGAAATCTTCACAGCTATCCAAATATCCACTTGCAGATTCTACAAAAAGAGTGTATCAAAAGTGCTCTGTCAAAAGGAAGGTTCTTCTCTGTTAGGTGAGCGCATACATCATAAAGGAGTTTCTGAGAATGTTTCTGTCTAGTGGTTATGGGATGATATTTGCTTTTTCACCGTAGGCCTCAGAGCGCTCCAAATATCCACTTGCACATACTACAAAAAGAGTGCCTCAAAGCTGCTCTCTGAAACGGAATGTTCAACTCTATGAGTTGAATGCAAACATCGCAAAGACGTTTCTGAGAATGCTTCTGTCTAGATTTGATATGAAGATATTCCCGTTTCCAACGAAATCTTCAAATCTATCCAAATGTCCACTTGCAGATTCAACAAAAAGTGTTTTTCAGAACTGCTCTATCAAAAGAAAGATCCACGTGTGTTAGCTGAGTTCACACATTACAAACAAGTTTATGAGAATGCTTCTGTCTAGTTTTTATTTGAAGATATTTCCTTTCTCACCATAGACCTGAAAGCTGTCCTAATGTTCACTTCCAGGTACTACAGAAAGAGTGTTTCAAAACTGCTGTACGAAAGGGAATGTTCAACTCTGTGACTTGAATGCACACATCACAAAGAAGTTTCTGAGGATGCTGCTGTCTACTTTTTATACGTAATCCCGTTTCCAACGAAATCCTCCAAGCTATCCAAATATCCACTTGCAGATTCCACAGAAAGACTGTTTCAAAACTGCTCTGTCAATAGAAAGGTTCAACTCTGTTAGCTGCATGCATATATCCCAAAGAAGATTCTGAGATTGCTTCTGTCTAGTTTTGATGGGAAGATATTTCCCTTTTCACCGTAGGTGTCAAGGCGCTCCAAATGTCCACTTCCAGATACTACCAAAAGAGTGTTTCAAACCTACTCTGTGAAAGGGAATATTCAACTCTGTGACTTGAATGCACATATCACAAAGAAGTTTCTGAGAATGCTTCTGTCGAGATTTTGTATGAAGATATTCCCGTTTCCAACGAAATCCTGAAATCTATCCAAATATCCCCTCGGAGAGTCTACAAAAAGAGTGTTTCAAAACTGCTCTGTGAAAAGAAAGGTTCAACTCTCTTAGTTGAGTACACACATCACAAACAAGTTTCACAGAATGCTTCTTTCTATCTTGTAGGGGAAGATATTCCCTTTATCACCATGGGCCTCCAACCGTCCGAAACATCCACTTCCATATACTACAAAAAGAGCGTTTCAAACCTGCTCTATGAAAGGCAATGTTCAACTCTGTGACTTGAATGCAGACATCACAGAGCAGTTTCTGAGAATGCTTCTGTCTAGATTTTATAGGAAGATATTCCCGTTTCCAACGAAATCTTCACAGCTATCCACATATCCACTTGCAGATTCTACAAAAAGAGTGTATCAAAACTGCTCTGTCAAAAGGAAGGTTCTTCTCTGTTAGGTGAGTGCATACGTCATAAAGGAGTTTCTGAGAATGTTTCTGTCTAGTGGTTATGGGAAGATATTTGCTTTTTCACCGTAGGCCTCAGAGCGATCCAAATATCCACTTGCACATACTACAAAAAGAGTGCTTCAAAGCTGCTCTCTGAAACGGAATGTTCAACTCTATGAGTTGAATGCAAACATCACAAAGACGTTTCTGAGAATGCTTCTGTCTAGATTTGATATGAAGATATTCCCGTTTCCAACGAAATCTTCAAATCTATCCAAATGTCCATTTGCAGATTCAACAAAAAGTGTTTTTCAAAACTGTTATATCAAAAGAAAGATCCACATCTGTTAGCTGAGTTCACACATCACAAACAAGTTTAAGAGAATGCTTCTGTCTAGTTTTTATTTGAAGATATTTCCTTTCTCACCATAGACCTGAAAGCTGTCCTAGTGTTCACTTCCAGATACTACAGAAAGAGTGTTTCAAAACTGCTGTACGAAAGGGAATATTCAACTCTGTGACTTGAATGCACACATCACAAAGAAGTTTCTGAGGATGCTGCTGTCTACTTTTTATGCGTAATCCCGTTTCCAACGAAATCCTCCAAGCTATCCAAATATCCACTTGCAGATTCCACAGAAAGACTGTTTCAAAACTGCTCTGTCAATAGAAAGGTTCAACTCTGTTAGCTGCGGTGCATATATCCCAAAGAAGATTCTGAGATTGCTTCTGTCTAGTTTTTATGGGAAGATATTTCCCTTTTCACCTTAGGCGTCAAGGCGCTCCAAATGTCCACTTCCA
Organism: Homo sapiens; assembly: GCF_000001405.40. NCBI lineage: Eukaryota > Metazoa > Chordata > Mammalia > Primates > Hominidae > Homo > Homo sapiens. Next base: position 17,264,333 of record NC_000013.11, on the reverse strand, counting down.
GATACTACAAAAAGAGTGTTTCAAACCTACTCTGTGAAAGGGAATATTCAAACCTGTGACTTGAATGCACATATCACAAAGAAGTTTCTGAGAATGCTTCTGTTGAGATTTTATATGAAGATATTCCCGTTTCCAATGAAATCCTGAAATCTATCCAAATATCCCCTCGCAGATTCTACAAAAAGAGTGTTTCAAAACTGCTCTGTAAAAACAAAGGTTCAACTCTGTTAGTTGAGTACACACATCACAAACAACTTTCACAGAATGCTTCTTTCTAGCTTGTAGGGGAAGATATTCCCTGTATCACCATGGGCCTCAAACCGTCCGAAGCGTCCACTTCCATATACTAAAAAAAGAGTGTTTGAAACCTGCTCTATGAAAGGCAATGTTCAACTCTGTGACTTGAATGCAGACATCACAGAGCAGTTTCTGAGAATGCTTCTGTCTAGATTTTATAGGAAGATATTCCCGTTTCCAGCGAAATCTTCACAGCTATCCAAATATCCACTTGCAGATTCTACAAAAAGAGTGTATCAAAACTGCTCTGTCAAAAGGAAGGTTCTTCTCTGTTAGTTGAGTACATACGTCATAAAGGAGTTTCTGAGAATGTTTCTGTCTAGTGGTTACGGTAAGATATTTGCTTTTTCACCTTAGGCCTCAGAGCGCTCCAAATATCCACTTGCACATACTACAAAAAGAGTGCTTCAAAGCTGCTCTCTGAAACGGAATGTTCAACTCTATGAGTTGAATGCAAACATGACAAAGACGTTTCTGAGAATGCTTCTGTCTAGATTTGATATGAAGATATTCCCGTTTCCAACGAAATCTTCATATCTATCCAAATGTCCACTTGCAGATTCAACAAAAAGTGTTTTTCAAAACTGCTGTATCAAAAGAAAGATCCACGTCTGTTAGCTGAGTTCACACATCACAAACAAGATTATGAGAATGCTTCTGTCTAGTTTTTATTTGAAGATATTTCCTTTCTCACCATAGACCTGAAAGCTGTCCTAATGTTCACTTCCAGTTACTACAGAAAGAGTGTTTCAAAACTGCTGTACGAAAGGGAATGTTCAACCCTGTGACTTGAATGCACACATCACAAAGAAGTTTCTGAGGATGCTGCTGTCTACTTTTTATACGTAATCCCGTTTCCAACGAAATGCTCCAAGCTATCCAAATATCCACTTGGAGATTCCACAGAAAGACTGTTTCAAAACTGCTCTGTCAATAGAAAGGTTCAACTCTGTTAACTGCGTGCATATATCCCAAAGAAGATTCTGAGATTGCTTCTGTCTAGTTTTTATGAGAAGATATTTCCCTTTTCACCGTAGGCGTCAAGGCGATCCAAATGTCCACTTCCAGATACTACAAAAGGAGTGTTTCAAACCTACTCTGTGAAAGGGAATATTCAACTCTGTGACTTGAATGCAGATATCACAAAGAAGTTTCTGAGAATGCTTCTGTCGAGATTTTATATGAAGATATTCCCGTTTCCAACGAAATGCTGAAATGTATCCAAATATCCCCTCGTAGATTCTACAAAAAGAGTGTTTCAAAACTGCTCTGTAAAAACAAAGGTTCAACTCTGTTAGTTGAGTACACACATCACAAACAAGTTTCACAGAATGCTTCTTTCTAGCTTGTAGGGGAAGATATTCCCTTTATCACCATGGGCCTCAAACCGTCCGAAACGTCCACTTCCATATACTACAAAAAGAGCGTTTCAAACCTGTTCTAGGAAAGACAATGTTCAACTCTGTGACTTGAATGCAGACATCACAGAGCAGTTTCTGAGAATGCTTCTGTATAGATTTTATAGGAAGATATTCCCGTTTCCAACGAAATCTTCACAGCTATCCAAATATCCACTTGCAGATTCTACAAAAAGAGTGTATCAAAACTGCTCTGTCAAAAGGAAGGTTTCTTCTCTGTTAGGTGAGTGCATACGTCATAAAGGAGTTTCTGAGAATGTTTCTGTCTAGTGGTTATGGGAAGATATTTGCCTTTTCACCTTAGGCCTCAGAGCACTCCAAATATCCCCTTGCACATACTACAAAAAGAGTGCTTCAAAGCTGCTCTCTGAAACGGAATGTTCAACTCTATGAGTTGAATGCAAACATCACAAAGACGTTTTTGGGAATGATTCTGTCTAGTATTTGATATGAAGATATTCCCGTTTCCAACGAAATCTTCAAATCTATCCAAATGTCCACTTGCAGATTCAACAAAAAGTGTTTTTCAAAACTGCTGTATCAAAAGAAAGATCCACGTCTGTTAGCTGAGTTCACACATCACAAACAAGTTTATGAGAATGCTTCTGTCTAGTTTTTATTTGAAGATATTTCCTTTCTCACCATAGACCTGAAAGCTGTCCTAATGTTCACTTCCAGATACTACAGAAAGAGCGTTTCAAAACTGCTGTAAGAAAGGGAATGTTCAACTCTGTGACTTGAATGCACACATCACAAAGAAGTTTCTGAGGATGCTGCTGTCTACTTTTTATACGTAATCCCGTTTCCAACGAAATCCTCCCAAGCTATCCAAATATCCACTTGCAGATTCCACAGAAAGACTGTTTCAAAACTGCTCTGTCAATAGAAAGGTTCAACTCTGTTAGCTGCGTGCATATATCCCAAAGAAGATTCTGAGATTGCTTCTGTCTACTTTTTATGAGAAGATATTTCCCTTTTCACCGTAGGCATCAAGGCGCTCCAAAAGTCCACTTCCAGATACTACAAAAAGTGTGTTTCAAACCTACTCTGTGAAAGGGAATATTCAACTCTGTGACTTGAATGCACATATCACAACGAAGCTTCTGAGAATGCTTCTGTCGAGATTTTCTATGAAGATATTCCCGTTTCCAACGAAATCCTGAATTCTATCCAAATATCCCCTCGCAGATTCTACAAAAAGAGTGTTTCAAAACTGCTCTGTAAAAAGAAAGGTTCAACTCTGTTACTTCAGTACACACATCACAAACAAGTTTCACAGAATGCTTCTTTCTAGCTTGTAGGGGAAGATATTCCCTTTATCACCATGGGCCTCAAACCGTCCGAAACGTCCACTTCCATATACTACAAAAAGAGCGTTTCAAACCTGCTAAATGAAAGGCAATGTTCAACTCTGTGACTTGAATGCAGACATCACAGAGCAGTTTCTGAGAATGCTTCTGTCTAGATTTTATAGGAAGATATTCCCGTTTCCAACGAAATCTTCACAGCTATCCAAATATCCACTTTCAGATTCTACAAAAAGAGTGTATCAAAAGTGCTCTGTCAAAAGGAAGCTTCTTCTCTGTTAGGTGAGTGCATACGTCATAAAGGAGTTTCTGAGAATGTTTCTGTCTAGTGGTTATGGGAAGATATTTGCTTTTTCACCGTAGGCCTCAGAGCGCTCCAAATATCCCCTTGCACATACTACAAAAAGAGTGCTTCAAAGCTGCTCTCTGAAAGGGAATGTTCAAATCTGTGAGTTGAATGCAAACATCACAAAGACGTTTCTGAGAATGCTTCTGTCTAGATTTGATAAGAAGATATTCCCGTTTCCAACGAAATCTTCAAATCTATCCAAATGTCCACTTGCAGATTCAACAAAGTGTTTTTCAAAACTGCTGTATCAAAAGAAAGATCCACCTGTGTTAGCTGAGTTCACACTTCACAAACAAGTTTATCAGAATTCTTCTGTCTAGTTTTTATTTGAAGATATATCCTTTCTCACTATAGACCTGAAAGCCCTCCTAATGTTCACTTCCAGATACTACAGAAAGAGTGTTTCAAAACTGCTGTACGAAAGGGAATGTTCATCTCTGTGACTTGAATGCACACATCACAAGGAAGTTTCTGAGGATGCTGCTGTCTACTTTTTATACGTAATCCCGTTTCCAACGAAATCCTCCAATCTATCCAAATATCCACTTGCAGATTCCACAGAAAGACTGTTTCTAAACTGCTCTGTCAGTAGAAAGGTTCAACTCTGTTAGCTGCGTGCATATATCCCAAAGAAGATTCTGAGATTGCTTCTGTCTAGTTTTTATGGGAAGATATTTCCCTTTTCACCGTAGGTGTCAAGGCGCTCCAAATGTCCACTTCCAGATACTACAAAAAGAGTGTTTCAAACCTACTCTGTGAAAGGGAATATTCAACTCTGTGACTTGAATGCAGATATCACAATGAAGTTTCTGAGAATGCTTCTGTCGAGATTTTATATGAAGATATTCCCGTTTCCAACGAAATCCTGAAATCTATCCAAATATCCCCTCGCAGATTCTACAAAAATAGTGTTTCAAAACTGCTCTGTAAAAAGAAAGGTTCAACTCTATTAGTTGAGTACACACATCACAAACAAGTTTCACAGAATGCTTCTTTCTAGCTTGTAGGGGAAGATATTCCCTTTATCACCATGGGCCTCAAACCGTCCGAAACGTCCACTTCCATATACTACAAAAAGAGGGTTTCAAACCTGCTCTATGAAAGGCAATGTTCAACTCTGTGACTTGAATGCAGACATCACAGAGCAGTTTCTGAGAATGCTTCTGTCTAGATTTTATAGGAAGATATTCCCGTTTCCAACGAAATCTTCACAGCTATCCAAATATCCACTTGCAGATTCTACAAAAAGAGTGTATCAAAACTGCTCTGTCAAAAGGAAGGTTCTTCTCTGTTAGGTGAGTGCATACGTCATAAAGGAGTTTCTGAGCATGTTTCTGTCTAGTGGTTATGGGAAGATATTTGCTTTTTCACCGTAGGCCTCAGAGCGCTCCAAATATCCACTTGCACATACTACAAAAAGAGTGCTTCAAAGCTGGTCTCTGAAACGGAATGTTCAACTCTATGAGTTGAATGCAAACATCACAAAGACGTTTCTGAGAATGCTTTCTGTCTAGATTTGATATGAAGATATTCCCGTTTCCAACGAAATCTTCAAATCTATCCAAATGTCCACTTGCAGATTCAACAAAAAGTGTTTTTCAGAACTGTTCTATCAAAAGAAAGATCCACCTCTGTTAGCTGAGTTCACACATCACAAACAAGTTTATGAGAATGCTTCTGTCTAGTTTTTATTTGAAGATATTTCCTTTCTCACCATAGACCTGAAAGCTGTCCTAATGTTCACTTCCAGATACTACAGAAAGAGTGTTTCAAAACTGCTGTACGAAAGGGAATGCTCAACTCTGTGACTTGAATGCACACATCACAAAGAAGTTTCTGAGGATGCTGCTGGCTACTTTTTATACGTAATCCCGTTTCCAACGAAATCCTCCAAGCTATCGAAATATCCACTTGCAGATTCCACAGAAAGACTGTTTCAAAACTGCTCTGTCAATAGAAAGGTTCAACTCTGTTAGCTGCGTGCATATATCCCAAAGAAGATTCTGAGATTGCTTCTGTCTAGTTTTTATGGGAAGATATTTCCCTTTTCACCGTAGGTGTCAATGTGCTCCAAATGTCCACTTCCAGACACTACAAAAAGAGTGTTTCAAACCTACTCTGTGAAAGGGAATATTCAACTCTGTGACTTGAATGCAGATATCACAAAGAAGTTTCTGAGAATGCTTCTGTCGAGATTTTATATGAAGATATTCCCGTTTCCAACGAAATCCTGAAATCTATCCAAATATCCCCTCGCAGATTCTACAAAAAGAGTGTTTCAAAAGTGCTCTGTAAAAAGAAAGGTTCAACTCTGTTAGTTGAGAACACACATCACAAACATGTTTCACAGAATGCTTCTTTCTAGCTTGTAGGGGAAGATATTCCCTTTATCACCATGGGCCTCAAACCGTCCGAAACGTCCTCTTCCATATAGTACAAAAAGAGCGTTTCAAACCTGCTCTATGAAAGGCAATGTTCAACTCTGTGACTTGAATGCAGACATCACAGAGCAGTTTCTGAGAATGCTTCTGTCTAGATGTTATAGGAAGATATTCCCGTTTCCAACGAAATCTTCACAGGTATCCAAATATCCACTTGCAGATTCTACAAAAAGAGTGTATCAAAACTGCTCTGTCAAAAGGAAGGTTCTTCTCTGTTAGGTGAGTGCATACGTCATAAAGGAATTTCTGAGAATGTTTCTGTCTAGTGGTTATGGGAATATATTTGCTTTTTCACCGTAGGCCTCAGAGCGCTCCAAATATCCACTTCCACATACTACAAAAAGAGTGCCTCAAAGCTGCTCTCTGAAACGGAATGTTCAACTCTATGAGTTGAATGCAAACGTCACAAAGACGTTTCTGAGAATGCTTCTGTCTAGATTTGAAATGAAGTTATTCCCGTTTCCAACGAAATCTTCAAATCTATCCAAATGTCCACTTGCAGATTCAACAAAAAGTGTTTTTCAGAACTGCTCTATCAAAAGAAAGATCCACCTCGGTTAGCTGAGTTCACACATCACAAAGAAGTTTATGAGAATGCTTTCTGTCTAGTTTTTATTTGAAGATATTTCCTTTCTCACTATAGACCTGAAAGCTCTCCTAAAGTTCACTTCCAGATACTACAGAAAGAGTGTTTCAAAACTGCTGTACGAAAGGGAATGTTCAACTCTGTGACTTGAATGCACACATCACAAAGAAGTTTCTGAGGATGCTGCTGTCTACTTTTTATACGTAATCCCTTTTCCAACGAAATCCTCCAAGCTATCCAAATATCCACTTGCAGATTCCACAGAAATACTGTTTCAAAACTGCTCTGTCAATAGAAAGGTTCAACTCTGTTAGCTGCGTGCATATATCCCAAAGAAGATTCTGAGATTGCTTCTGTCTAGTTTTTATGGGAAGATATTTCCCTTTTCACCGTAGGTGTCAAGGCGCTCCAAATGTCCACTTCCAGATACTACAAAAAGAGTGTTTCAAACCTACTCTCTGAAAGGGAATATTCAACTCTGTGCCTTGAATGCAGATATCACAATGAAGTTTCTGAGAATGCTTCTGTCGAGATTTTATATGAAGATATTCCCGTTTCCAACGAAATCCTGAAATCTATCCAAATATCCCCTCGCAGATTCTACAAAAAGCGTGTTTCAAAACTGCTCTGTAAAAAGAAAGGTTCAACTCTGTTAGTTGAGTACACACATCACAAACAAGTTTCACAGAATGCTTCTTTCTAGCTGGTAGGGGAAGATATTCCCTTTATCACCATTGGCCTCAAACCGTCCGAAACGTCCACTTCCATATACTACAAAAAGAGCGTTTCAAACCTGCTCTATGAAAGGCAATGTTCAACTCTGTGACTTGAATGCAGACATCACAGAGCAGTTTCTGAGAATCCTTCTGTCTAGATTTTATAGGAAGATATTCCCGTTTCCAACGAAATCTTCACAGCTATCCAAATATCCACTTGCAGATTCTACAAAAAGAGTGTATCAAAACTGCTCTGTCAAAAGGAAGGTTCTTCTCTGTTAGGTGAGTGCATACGTCATAAAGGAGTTCTGAGAATGTTTCTGTCTAGTGGTTATGGGAAGATATTTGCTTTTTCACCGTAGGCCTCAGAGCGCTCCAAATATCCACTTGCACATACTACAAAAAGTGTGCCTCAAAGCTGCTCTCTGAAACGGAATGTTCAACTCTATGAGTTGAATGCAAACATCACAAAGACGTTTCTGAAAATGCTTCTGTCTAGATTTGATATGAAGATATTCCCGTGTCCAACGAAATCTTCAAGTCTATCCAAATGTCCACTTGCAGATTCAACAAAAAGTGTTTTTCAGAACTGCTCTATCAAAAGAAAGATCCACCTCTGTTAGCTGAGTTCACACATCACAAACAACTTTATGAGAATGCTTCTGTCTAGTTTTTATTTGAAGATATATCCTTTCTCACTATATACCTGAAAGCTCTCCTAAAGTTCACTTCCAGATACTACAGAAAGAGTGTTTCAAAACTGCTGTATGAAAGGGAATATTCAACTCTGTGACTTGAATGCACACATCACAAAGAAGTTTCTGAGGATGCTGCTGTCTAATTTTTATACGTAATCCCGTTTCCAACGAAATCCTCCAAACTATCCAAATATCCACTTGCAGATTCCACAGAAAGACTGTTTCAAAACTGCTCTGTCAATAGAAAGGTTCAACTCTGTTAGCTGCGTGCATATATCCCAAAGAAGATTCTGAGATTGCTTCTGTCTAGTTTTTATGGGAAGATATTTCCCTTTTCACCGTAGGCGTCAAGGCGCTCCAAATGTCCACTTCCAGATACTACAAAAAGAGTGTTTCAAACCTACTCTGTGAAAGGGAATATTGAACTCTGTGACTTCAATGCACATATCACAAAGAAGCTTCTGAGAATGCTTCTGTCGAGATTTTGTATGAAGATATTCCCGTTTCCAACGAAATCCTGAAATGTATCCAAATTTCCCCTCGCAGATTCTACAAAAAGAGTGTTTCAAAACTGCTCTGTAAAAAGAAAGGTTCAACTCTGTTAGTTGAGTACACACATCACAAACAAGTTTCACAGAATGCTTCTTTCTAGCTTGTAGGGGAAGATATTTCCTTTATCACCATGGGCCTCAAACCGTCCGAAACGTCCACTTCCATATACTACAAAAAGAGCGTTTCAAACCTGCTCTATGAAAGGCAATGTTCAACTCTGTGACTTGAATGCAGACATCACAGAGCAGTTTCTGAGAATGCTTCTGTCTAGATTTTATAGGAAGACATTCCCGTTTCCAACGAAATCTTCACAGCTATCCAAATATCCACTTGCAGATTCTACAAAAAGAGTGTATCAAAACTGCTCTGTCAAAAGGAAGGTTCTTTTCTGTTAGGTGAGTGCATACGTCATAAAGGAGTTTCTGAGAATGTTTCTGTCTAGTGGTTATGGGAAGATATTTGCTTTTTCACCTTAGTCCTCAGAGCGCTCCAAATATCCACTTGCACATACTACAAAAAGAGTGCCTCAAAGCTGCTCTTTGAAACGGAATGTTCAACTCTATGAGTTGAATGCAAACATCACAAAGACGTTTCTGAGAATGCTTCTGTCTAGATTTGATATGAAGATATTCCCGTTTCCAAAGAAATCTTCAAATCCATCCAAATGTCCACTTGCAGATTCAACAAAAAGTGTTTTTCAGAACTGCTCTATCAAAAGAAAGATCCACCTCTTTTAGCTGAGTTCACACATCACAAACATGTTTATGAGAATGCTTCTGTCTAGTTTTTATTTGAAGATATTTCCTTTCTCACCATAGAGCTGAAAGGTGTCCTAATGTTCACTTCCAGATACTACAGAAAGAGTGTTTCAAAACTGCTGTACGAAAGGGAATGTTCAACTCTGTGACTTGAATGCACACATCACAAAGAAGTTTCTGAGGATGCTGCTGTCTACTTTTTATACGTAATCCCGTTTCCAACGAAATCCTCCAAGCTATCCAAATATCCACTTGCAGATTCCACAGAAAGACCGTTTCAAAACTGCTATGTCAATAGAAAAGTTCAACTCTGTTAGCTGTGTGCATATATCCCAAAGAAAATTCTGAGATTGCTTCTGTCTAGTTTTAATGGGAAGATATTTCCCTTTTCACCGTAGGTGTCAATGTGCTCCAAATTTCCACTTCCAGACACTACAAAAAGAGTGTTTCAAACCTACTCTGTGAAAGGGAATATTCAACTCTGTGACTTGAATGCAGATATCACAAAGAAGTTTCTGAGAATGCTTCTGTCGAGATTTTATATGAAGATATTCCCGTTTCCAACGAAATCCTGAAATGTATCCAAATATCCCCTCGCAGATTCTACAAAAAGAGTGTTTCAAAACTGCTCTGTAAAAGAAAGGTTCAACTCTGTTAGTTGAGTACAAACATCACAAACAAGTTTCACAGAATGCTTCTCTCTAGCTTGTAGGGGAATATATTCCCTTTATCACCATGGGTCTCAAACCGTCCGAAACGTCCACTTCCATATACTACAAAAAGAGCGTTTCAAACCTGCTCTAGGAAAGGCAGTGTTCAACTCTGTGACTTGAATGCAGACATCACAGAGCTGTTTCTGAGAATGCTTCTGTCTGGATTTTATAGGAAGATATTCCCGTTTCCAACGAAATCTTCACAGCTATCCAAATATCCACTTGCAGATTCTACAAAAAGAGTGTATCAAAACTCCTCTGTCAAAAGGAAGGTTCTTCTCTGTTAGTTGAGTACATACGTCATAAAGGAGTTTCTGAGAATGTTTCTGTCTAGTGGTTATGGGAAGATATTTGCTTTTTCACCTTAGGCCTCAGAGCGCTCCAAATATCCACTTGCACATACTACAAAAAGAGTGCTTCAAAGCTGCTCTCTGAAAGGGAATGTTCAACTCTATGAGTTGAATGCAAACATCCCAAAGACGTTTCTGAGAATGCTTCTGTCTAGATTTGATATGAAGATATTCCCGTTTCCAACGAAATCTTCAAATCTATCCAAATGTCCACTTGCAGATTCAACAAAAAGTGTTTTTCCGAACTGCTCTATCAAAAGAAAGATCCGCCTCTGTTAGCTGAGTTCACACATCACAAACAAGTTTATGAGAATGCTTCTGTCTAGTTTTTATTTGAAGATATTTCCTTTCTCACCATAGACCTGAAAGCTGTCCTAATGTTCACTTCCAGATACTACATAAAGAGTGTTTCAACACTGCTGTACGAAAGGGAATGTTCAACTCTGTGACTTGAATGCACACATCACAAAGAAGATTCTGAGGATGCTGCTGTCTACTTTTTATACTTAATCCCGTTTCCAACGAAATCCTCCAAGCTATCCAAATATCCACTAGCAGATTCCACAGAAAGACTGTTTCAAAACTGCTCTGTCAATAGAAAGGTTCAACTCTGTTAGCTGCGTGCATATATCCCGAAGAAGATTCTGAGATTGCTTCTGTCTAGTTTTTATGGGAAGATATTTCCCTTTTCACCGTAGGCGTCCAGGCGCTCCAAATGTCCACTTCCAGATACTACAAAAAGAGTGTTTCAAACCTACTCTGTGAAAGGGAATATTCAACTCTGTGACTTGAATGCACATATCACAAGGAAGTTTCTGAGAATGCTTCTGTCGAGATTTTATATGAAGATATTCCCGTTTCCAACGAAATGCTGAAATCTATCCAAATATCCCCTCGCAGATTCTACGAAAAGAGTGTTTCAAAACTGCTCTGTGAAAAGAAAGGTTCAACTCTGTTAGTTGAGTACACACATCACAAACAAGTTTCACAGAATGCTTCTTTCTAGCTTGTAGGGGAAGATATTCCCTTTATCACCATGGGCCTCAAACCGTCCGAAACGTCCACTTCCATATACTACAAAAAGAGCGTTTCAAACCTGCTCTATGAAAGGCAATGTTCAACTCTGTGACTTGAATGCAGACATCACAGAGCATTTTCTGAGAATGCTTCTGTCTAGATTTTATAGGAAGATATTCCCGTTTCCAACGAAATCTTCACAGCTATCCAAATATCCACTTGCAGATTCTACAAAAAGAGTGTATCAAAACTGCTCTGTCAAAAGGAAGGTTCTTCTCTGTTAGGTGAGAGCATACGTCATAAAGGAGTTTCTGAGAATGTTTCTGTCTAGTGGTTATGGGAAGATATTTGCTTTTTCCCCGTAGGCCTCAGAGCGCTCCAAATATCCACTTGCACATACTACAAAAAGAGTGCTTCAAAGCTGCTCTCTGAAAGGGAATGTTCAACTCTATGAGTTGAATGCAAACATCACAAAGACGTTTCTGAGAATGCTTCTGTCTAGATTTGATATGAAGATATTCCCGTTTCCAACGAAATCTTCAAATCTATCCAAATGTCCACTTGCAGATTCAACAAAAAGTGTTTTTCAAAACTGCTGTATCAAAAGAAAGATCCACCTCTGTTAGCTGAGTTCACACATCACAAACAAGTTTATGAGAATCCTTCTGTCTAGTTTTTATTTGAAGATATTTCCTTTCTCACCATAGACCTGAAAGCTGTCCTATTGTTCACTTCCAGATACTACAGAAAGAGTGTTTCAAAACTGCTGTATGAAAGGGAATGTTCAACTCTGTGACTTGAATGCACACATCACAAAGAAGTTTCTGAGGATGCTGCTGTCTACTTTTTATACGTAATCCCGTTTCCAACGAAATCCTCCAAGCTATCCAAATATCCACTTGCAGATTCCACAGAAAGACTGTTTCAAAACTGCTCTGTCAATAGAAAAGTTCAACTCTGTTAGCTGCGTGCATATATCCCAAGGAAGATTCTGAGATTGCTTCTCTCTAGTTTTTATGGGAAGATATTTCCCTTTTCACCGTAGGTGTCAAGGCGCTCCAAATGTCCACTTCCAGATACTACAAAAAGAGTGTTTCAAACCTACTCTGTGAAAGGGAATATTCAACTGTGTGACTTGAATGCACATATCACAAAGAAGTTTCTGAGAATGCTTCTGTCGAGATTTTATATGAAGATATACCCGTTTCCAACGAAATCCTGAAATCTATCCAAATATCCCCTCGCAGATTCTACAAAAAGAGTGTTTCAAAGCTGCTCTGTGAAAAGAAAGGTTCAACTCTGTTAGTTGAGTACACACATCACAAACAAGTTTCACAGAATGCTTCTTTCTAGCTTGTAGGGGAAGATATTCCCTTTATCACCATGGTCCTCAAACCGTCCGAAACGTCCACTTCCATATACTACAAAAAGAGCGTTTCAAACCTGCTCTAGGAAAGGCAATGTTCAACTCTGTGACTTGAATGCAGACATAAGAGAGCAGTTTCTGAGAATGCTTCTGTCTAGATTTTATAGGAAGATATTCCCGTTTCCAACGAAATCTTCACAGCTATCCAAATATCCACTTGCAGATTCTACAAAAAGAGTGTATAAAAACTGCTCTGTCAAAAGGAAGGTTCTTTTCTGTTAGGTGAGTGCATACGTCATAAAGGAGTTTCTGAGAATGTTTCTGTCTAGTGGTTATGGGAAGATATTTGCTTTTTCACCTTAGGCCTCAGAGCGCTCCAAATATCCCCTTGCACATACTACAAAAAGAGTGCTTCAAAGCTGCTCTCTGAAAGGGAATGTTCAACTCTATGAGTTGAATGCAAACGTCACAAAGACGTTTCTGAGAATGCTTCTGTCTAGATTTGATATGAAGATATTCCCGTTTCCAACGAAATCTTCAAATCTATCCAAATGTCCACTTGCAGATTCAACAAAACGTGTTTTTCAGAACTGCTCTATCAAAAGAAAGATCCACGTCTCTTAGCTGAGTTCACACATCACAAACAAGTTTATGAGAATGCTTCTGTCTAGTTTTTATTTGAAGATATTTCCTTTCTCACCATAGACCTGAAAGCTGTCCTAATGTTCAATTCCAGATACTACAGAAAGAGTGTTTCAAAACTACTGTACGAAAGGGAATGTTCAACTCTGTGACTTGAATGCACACATCACAAAGAAGTTTCTGAGGATGCTGCTGTCTACTTTTTATGCGTAATCCCGTTTCCAACGAAATCCTCCAAGCTATCCAAATATCCACTTTCAGATTCCACAGAAAGACTGTTTCAAAACTGCTCTGTCAATAGAAAGGTTCAACTCTGTTAGCTGCGTGCATATATCCCAAAGAAGATTCTGAGATTGCTTCTGTCTACTTTTTATGAGAAGATATTTCCCTTTTCACTGTAGGCGTCAAGGCGCTCCAAATGTCCACTTCCAGATACTACAAAAAGAGTGTTTCAAACCTACTCTGTGAAAGGGAATATTCAACTCTGTGACTTGAATGCACATATCACAAAGAAGTTTCTGAGAATGCTTCTGTCGAGTATTTTGTATGAAGATATTCCCGTTTCCAACGAAATCCTGAAATCTATCCAAATTTCCCCTCGCAGATTCTACAAAAAGAGTGTTTCAAAACTGCTCTGTGAAAAGAAAGGTTCAACTCTGTTAGTTGAGTACACACATCACAAACAAGTTTCACAGAATGCTTCTTTCTAGCTTGTAGGGGAAGATATTCCCTTTATCACCATGGGCCTCAAACCGTCCGATAAGTCCACTTCCATATACTACAATAAGAGCGTTTCAAACCTGCTCTATGAAAGGCAATGTTCAACTCTGTGACTTGAATGCAGACATCACAGAGCAGTTTCTGAGAATGCTTCTGTCTAGATTTTATAGGAAGATATTCCCGTTTCCAACGAAATCTTCACAGCTATCCAAATATCCACTTGCAGATTCTACAAAAAGAGTGTATCAAAACTGCTCTGTCAAAAGGAAGGTTCTTCTCTGTTAGGTGAGTGCATACGTCATAAAGCAGTTTCTGAGAATGTTTCTGTCTAGTGGTTATGGGAAGATATTTGCTTTTTCACCTTAGGCCTCAGAGCGCTCCAAATATCCCCTTGCACATACTACAAAAAGAGTGCTTCAAAGCTGCTCTCTGAAAGGGAATGTTCAACTCTATGAGTTGAATGCAAACATCACAAAGACATTTCTGAGAATGCTTCTGTCTAGATTTGATATGAAGCATATTCCCGTTTCCAACGAAATCTTCAAATCTATCCAAATGTCCACTTGCAGATTCAACAAAAAGTGTTTTTCAGAACTGCTCTATCAAAAGAAAGATCCACCTCTGTTAGATGAGTTCACACATCACAAACAAGTTTATGAGAATGCTTCTGTCTAGTTTTTATTTGAAGATATTTCCTTTCTCACCATAGAGCTGAAATCTGTCCTAATGTTCACTTCCAGATACTACAGAAAGAGTGTTTCAAAACTGCTGTACGAAAGGGAATGTTCAACTCTGTGACTTGAATGCACACATCACAAAGAAGTTTCTGAGGATGCTGCTGTCTACTTTTTATACGTAATCCCGTTTCCAACGAAATCCTCCAATCTATCCAAATATCCACTTGCAGATTCCACAGAAAGACTGTTTCAAATCTGCTCTGTCAACAGAAAGATTCAACTCTGTTAGCTGCGTGCATATATCCCAAAGAAGATTCTGAGATTGCTTCTGTCTGGTTTTTATGGGAAGATATTTCCCTTTTCACCGTAGGCGTCAAGGTGCTCGATATGTCCACTTCCAGATACCACAAAGAGTGTTTCAAACCTACTCTGTGAAAGGGAATATTCAACTCTGTGACTTGAATGCAGATATCACAAAGAAGTTTCTGTGAATGCTTCTGTCGAGATTTTATATGAAGATATTCCCGTTTCCAACGAAATGGTGAAATCTATCCAAATATCCCCTCGCAGATTCTACAAAAAGAGTGTTTCAAAACTGCTCTGTGAAAAGAAAGGTTCAACTCTGTTAGTTGAGTACACACATCACAAACAAGTTTCACAGAATGCTTCTTTCTAGCTTGTAGGGGAAGATATTCCCTTTATCACCATGGGCCTCAAACCGTCCGAAACGTCCACATCCATATACTACAAAAAGAGCGTTTCAAACCTGCTCTATGAAAGGCAATGTTCAACTCTGTGACTTGAATGCAGACATCACAGAGCAGTTTCTGAGAATGCTTCTGTCTAGATTTTATAGGAAGATATTCCCGTTTCCAACGAGATCTTCACAGCTATCCAAATATCCGCTTGCAGATTCTACAAAAAGAGTGTATCAAAACTGCTCTGTCAAAAGGAAGGTTCTTCTCTGTTAGTTGAGTACATACGTCATAAAGGAGTTTCTGAGAATGTTTCTGTCTAGTGGTTATGGGAAGATATTTGCTTTTTCACCGTAGGCCTCAGAGCGCTCCAAATATCCACTTGCACATACTACAAAAAGAGTGCCTCAAGGCTGCTCTCTGAAACGGAATGTTCAACTCTATGAGTTGAATGCAAACATCGCAAAGACGTTTCTGAGAATGCTTCTGCCTAGATTTGATATGAAGATATTCCCGTTTCCAACGAAATCTTCAAATCTATCCAAATGTCCACTTGCAGATTCAACAAAAAGTGTTTTTCAGAACTGCTCTATCAAAAGAAAGATCCATCTCTGTTAGCTGAGTTCACACATCACAAACAAGTTTATGAGAATGCTTCTGTCTAGTTTTTATTTGAAGATATTTCCTTTCTCACCATAGACCTGAAAGCTGTCCTAATGTTCACTCCCAGATACTACAGAAAGAGTGCTTCAAAACTGCTGTACGAAAGGGAATGTTCAACTCTGTGACTTGAATGCACACATCACAAAGAAGTTTCTGAGGATGGTGCTGTCTACTTTTTATACGTAATCCCGTTTCCAACGATATCCTCCAATCTATCCAAATATCCACTTGCAGATTCCACAGAAAGACTGTTTCAAATCTGCTCAGTCAATAGAAAGGTTCAACTCTGTTAGCTGCGTGCATATATCCCAAAGAAGATTCTGAGATTGCTTCTGTCTAGTTTTTATGGGAAGATATTTCCCTTTTCACCTTAGGTGTCAAGGCGCTCCAAATGTCCACTTCCAGATACTACAAAAAGAGTGATTCAAACCTACTCTGTGAAAGGGAATATTCAACTCTGTGACTTGAATGCACATATCACAAGGAAGTTTCTGAGAATGCTTCTGTCGAGATTTTCTATGAAGATATTCCCGTTTCCAACGAAATCCTGAAATGTATCCAAATATCCCCTCGCAGATTCTACAAAAAGAGTGTTTCAAAACTGCTCTGTAAAAAGAAAGGTTCAACTCTGTTAGTTGAGTACATACATCACAAACAAGTTTCACAGAATGCTTCTTTCTAGCTTGTAGGAGAATATATTCCCTTTATCACCATGGGTCTCAAACCGTCCGAAACGTCCACTTCCATATACTACAAAAAGAGCGTTTCAAACCTGCTCTATGAAAGGCAATGTTCAACTCTGTGACTTGAATGCAGACATCACAGAGCTGTTTCTGAGAATGCTTCTGTCTAGGTTTTATAGGAAGATATTCCCGTTTCCAGCGAAATCTTCACAGCTATCCAAATATCCACTTGCAGATTCTACAAAAAGAGTGTATCAAAACTGCTCTGTCAAAAGGAAAGTTCTTCTCTGCTAGTTGAGTACATACGTCATAAAGAATTTTCTGAGAATGTTTCTGTCTAGTGGTTATGGGAAGATATTTGCTTTTTTCCCCGTAGGCCTCAGGGCGCTCCAAATGTCCACTTGCACATGCTACAAAAAGAGTGCTTCAAAGCTGCTCTCTGAAAGGGAATGTTCAACTCTATGAGTTGAATGCAAACATCACAAAGACGTTTCTGAGAATGCTTCTGTCTAGATTTGATATGAAGATATTCCCGTTTCCAACGAAATCTTCAAATCTATCCAAATGTCCACTTGCAGATTCAACAAAAAGTGTTTTTCAGAACTGCTCTATCAAAAGAAAGATCCACCTCTGTTAGCTGAGTTCACACATCACAAACAAGTTTATGAGAGTGCTTCTGTCTAGTTTTTATTTGAAGATATTTCCTTTCTCACCATAGAGCTGAAAGCTGTCCTAATGTTCACTTCCAGATGCTACAGAAAGAGTGTTTCAAAACTGCTGTACGAAAGGGAATGTTCAACTCTGTGACTTGAATGCACACATCACAAAGAAGTTTCTGAGGATGCTGCTGTCTACTTTTTATACGTAATCCCGTTTCCAACGAAATCCTCCAAGCTATCCAAATATCCACTTGCAGATTCCACAGAAAGACTGTTTCAAAACTGCTCTGTCAATAGAAAGGTTCAACTCTGTTGGCTGCGTGCATATATCCCAAAGAAGATTCTGAGATTGCTTCTGTCTAGTTTTTATGGGAAGATATTTCCCTTTTCACCGTAGGTGTCAAAGCGCTCCAAATGTCCACTTCCAGATACTACAAAAAGAGTGTTTCAAACCTACTCTGTGAAAGGGAATATTCAACTCTGTGACTTGAATGCACATATCACAAAGAAGTTTCTGAGAATGCTTCTGTCGAGATTTTATATGAAGATATTCCCGTTTCCAACGAAATGCTGAAATGTATCCAAATATCCCCTCGCAGATTCTACAAAAAGAGTGTTTCAAAACTGCTCTGTAAAAAGAAAGGTTCAACTCTGTTAGATGAGTACACACATCACAAACAAGTTTCACAGAATGCTTCTTTCTAGCTTGTAGGGGAAGATATTCCCTTTATCACCATGGGCCTCAAACCGTCCGAAAAGTCCACTTCCATATACTACAAAAAGAGCGTTTCAAACCTGCTCTATGAAAGGCAATGTTAAACTCTGTGACTTGAATGCAGACATCACAGAGCAGTTTCTGAGAATGCTTCTGTCTAGATTTTATAGGAAGATATTCCCCTTTCCAACGAAATCTTCACAGCTATCCAAATATCCACTTGCAGATTCTACAAAAAGAGTGTATCAAAACTGCTCTGTCAAAAGGAAGGTTCTTCTCTGTTAGGTGAGTGCATACGTCATAAAGGAGTTTCTGAGAATGTTTCTGTCTAGTGGTTATGGGAAGATATTTGCTTTTTCACCTTAGGCCTCAGAGCGCTCCTAATATCCACTTGCACATACTACAAAAAGAGTGCTTCAAAGCTGCTCTCTGAAAGGGAATGTTCAACTCTATGAGTTGAATGCAAACATCACAAAGACGTTTCTGAGAATGCTTCTGTCTAGATTTGATATGAAGATATTCCCGTTTCCAACGAAATCTTCAAATCTATCCAAATGTCCACTTGCAGACTCAACAAAAAGTGTTTTTCAGAACTGCTCTATCAAAAGAAAGATCCACCTCTGTTAGCTGAGTTCACACATCACAAACAAGTTTATGAGAATGCTTCTGTCTAGTTTTTATTTGAAGATATTTCCTTTCTCACCATAGACCTGAAAGCTGTCCTAATGTTCACTTCTAGATACTACAGAAAGAGTGTTTCAATACTGCTGTACGAAAGGGAATGTTCAACTCTGTGACTTGAATGCACACATCACAAAGAAGTTTCTGAGGATGCTGCTGTCTACTTTTTATACGTAATCCCGTTTCCAAAGAAATCCTCCAAGCTATCCAAATATCCACTTGCAGATTCCACAGAAGGACTGTTTCTAAACTGCTCTGTCAATAGAAAGGTTCAACTCTGTTAGCTGCGTGCATATATCCCAAAGAAGATTCTGAGATTGCTTCTGTCTAGTTTTTATGGGAAGATATTTCCCTTTTCACCATAGGTGTCAAGGCGCTCCAAATGTCCACTTCCAGATACTACAAAAAGAGTGTTTCAAACCTACTCTGTGAAAGGGAATATTCAACTCTGTGACTTGAATGCACATATCACAAAGAAGTTTCTGAGAATGCTTCCGTCGAGATTTTATATGAAGATATTCCCGTTTCCAACGAAATCCTGAAATCTATCCAAATATCCCCTCGCAGATTCTACAAAAAGAGTGTTTCAAAACTGCTCTGTAAAAAGAAAGGTTCAACTCTGTTAGTTGAGTACACACATCACAAACAAGTTTCACAGAATGCTTCTTTCTAGCTTGTAGGGAAAGATATTCCCTTTATCACCATGGGCCTCCAACCGTCCGAAACATCCACTTCCATATACTACAAAAAGAGCGTTTCAAACCTGCTCTATGAAAGGCAATGTTCAACTCTGTGACTTGAATGCAGACATCACAGAGCAGTTTCTGAGAATGCTTCTGTCTAGATTTTATAGGAAGATATTCCCGTTTCCAACGAAATCTTCGCAGCTATCCAAATATCCACTTGCAGATTCTACAAAAAGAGTGTATCAAAACTGCTCTGTCAAAAGGAAGGTTCTTTTCTGTTAGGTGAGTGCATACGTCATAAAGGAGTTTCTGAGAATGTTTCTGTCTAGTGGTTATGGGAAGATATTTGCTTTTTCCCCGTAGGCCTCAGAGCGCTCCAAATGTCCACTTGCACATGCTACAAAAAGAGTGCTTCAAAGCTACTCTCTGGAAGGGAATGTTCAACTCTATGAGTTGAATGCAAACATCACAAAGACGTTTCTGAGAATGCTTCTGTCTAGATTTGATATGAAGATATTCCCGTTTCCAACGAAATCTTCATATCTATCCAAATGTCCACTTGCAGATTCAACAAAAAGTGTTTTTCAAAACTGCTGTATCAAAAGAAAGATCCACGTCTGTTAGCTGATGCTCTATCAAAAGAATGATCCACCTCTGTTAGCTGAGTTCACACATCACAAACAAGTTTATGAAAATGCTTCTGTCTAGTTTATATTTGAAGATATTTCCTTTCTCACCATAGAGCTGAAAGCTGTCCTAATGTTCACTTCCAGATACTACAGAAAGAGTGTTTCAAAACTGCTGTACGAAAGGGAATGTTCAACTCTGTGACTTGAATGCACACATCACAAAGAAGTTTCTGAGGATGCTGCTGTCTACTTTTTATACGTAATCCCGTTTCCAATGAAATCCTCCAACTATCCAAATATCCACTTGCAGATTCCACAGAAAGACTGTTTCAAAACTGCTCTGTCAATAGAAAGGTTCAACTCTGTTAGCTGCGTGCATATATCCCAAAGAAGATTCTGAGATTGCTTCTGTCTAGTTTTTATGGGAAGATATTTCCCTTTTCACCGTAGCGGTCAAGGCGCTCCAAATGTCCACTTCCAGATACTACAAAAAGAGTGTTTCAAACCTACTCTGTGAAAGGGAATATTCAACTCTGTGACTTGAATGCAGATATCACAAAGAAGTTTCTGAGAATGCTTCTGTCGAGATTTTATATGAAGATATTCCCGTTTCCAACGAAATCCTGAAATCTATCCAAATATCCCCTCGCAGATTCTACAAAAAGAGTGTTTCAAAACTGCTCTGTAAAAAGATAGGTTCAACTCTGTTAGTTGAGTACACACATCACAAACAAGTTTCACAGAATGCTTCTTTCTAGCTTGTAGGGGAAGATATTCCCTTTATCACCATGGGCCTCAAACCGTCCGAAACGTCCACTTCCATATACTACAAAAAGAGCGTTTCAAACCTGCTCTAGGAAAGGCAATGTTCAACTCTGTGACTTGAATGCAGTCATCACAGAGCAGTTTCTGAGAATGCTTCTGTCTAGATTTTATAGGAAGATATTCCCGTTTCCAACGAAATCTTCACAGGTATCCAAATATCCACTTGCAGATTCTACAAAAAGAGTGTTTCAAAACTGCTCTGTCAAAAGGAAGGTTCTTCTCTGTTAGGTGAGTGCATACGTCATAAAGGAGTTTCTGAGAATGTTTCTGTCTAGTGGTTATGGGAAGATATTTGCTTTTTCACCGTAGGCCTCAGAGCGCTCCAAATATCCGCTTGCACATACTACAAAAAGAGTGCTTCAAAGCTGCTCTCTGAAACGGAATGTTCAACTCTATGAGTTGAATGCAAACATCACAAAGACGTTTCTGAGAATGCTTCCGTCTAGATTTGATATGAAGATATTCCCGTTTCCAACGACATCTTCAAATCTATCCAAATGTCCACTTGCAGATTCAACAAAAAGTGTTTTTCAGAACTGCTCTATCAAAAGAAAGATCCACGTGTGTTAGCTGAGTTCACACATCACAAACAAGTTTATGAGAATGCTTCTGTTTAGTTTTTATTTGAAGATATTTCCTTTCTCACCATAGAGCTGAAAGCTGTCCTAATGTTCACTTCCAGATACTACAGAAAGAGTGTTTCAAAACTGCTGTACGAAAGGGAATGTTCAACTCTGTGACTTGAATGCACACATCACAAAGAAGTTTCTGAGGATGCTGCTGTCTACTTTTTATACGTAATCCCGTTTCCAACGAAATCCTCCAAGCTATCCAAATATCCACTTGCAGATTCCACAGAAAGACTGTTTCAAAACTGCTCTGTCAATAGAAAGGTTCATCTCTGTTAGCGGCGTGCATAAATCCCAAAGAAGATTCTGAGATTGCTTCTGTCTAGTTTTTATGGGAAGATATTTCCCTTTTCACCGTAGGCGTCCAGGCGCTCCAAATGTCCACTTCCAGATACTACAAAAAGAGTGTTTCAAACCTACTCTGTGAAAGGGAATATTCAACTCTGTGACTCGAATGCACATATCACAAGGAAGTTTCTGAGAATGCTTCTGTCGAGATTTTGTATGAAGATATTCCCGTTTCCAACGAAATCCTGAAATCTATCCAAATTTCCCCTCGCAGATTCTACAAAAAGAGTGTTTCAAAACTGCTCTGTGAAAAGAAAGGTTCAACTGCTGTTAGTTGAGTACACACATCACAAACAAGTTTCACAGAATGCTTCTTTCTAGCTTGTAGGGTAAGATATTCCCTTTATGACCATGGGCCTCAAACCGTCCGAAACGTCCACTTTTATATACTACAAAAAGAGCGTTTCAAACCTGCTCTATGAAAGGCAATGTTCAACTCTGTGACTTGAATGCAGACATCACAGAGCAGTTTCTGAGAATGCTTCTGTCTAGATTTTATAGGAAGATATTCCCGTTTCCAACGAAATCTTCACAGCTATCCAAATATCCACTTGCAGATTCTACAAAAAGAGTGTATCAAAACTGCTCTGTCAAAAGGAAAGTTCTTCTCTGTTAGGTGAGTGCATACGTCATAAAGGAGTTTCTGAGAATGTTTCTGTCTAGTGGTTATGGGAAGATATTTGCTTTTTCACCGTAGGCCTCAGAGCGCTCCAAATATCCACTTGCACATACTACAAAAAGAGTGCCTCAAAGCTGCTCTCTGAAACGGAATGTTCAACTCTATGAGTTGAATGCAAACATCACAAAGACGTTTCTGAGAATGCTTCTGTCTAGATTTGATATGAAGATATTCCCGTTTCCAACGAAATCTTCAAATCTATCCAAATGTCCACTTGCAGATTCAACAAAAAGTGTTTTTCAGAACTTCTCTATCAAAAGAAAGATCCACCTCTGTTAGCTGAGTTCACACATCACAAACAAGTTTATGAGAATGCTTCTGTCTAGTTTTTATTTGAAGATATTTCCTTTCTCACCATAGACCTGAAAGCTGTCCTAATGATCACTTCCAGATACTACAGAAAGAGTGTTTCAAAACTGCTGTACGAAAGGGAATGTTCAACTCTGTGACTTGAATGCACACATCACAAAGAAGTTTCTGAGGATGCTGCTGTCTACTTTTTCTACGTAATCCCGTTTCCAACGAAATCCTCCAAGCTATCCAAATATCCACTTGCAGATTCCACAGAAAGACTGTTTCAAAACTGCTCTGTCAATAGAAAGGTTCAACTCTGTTAGCTGCGTGCATATATCCCAAAGAAGATTCTGAGATTGCTTCTGTCTACTTTTTATGAGAAGATATTTCCCTTTTCACCGTAGGCGTCAAGGCTCTCCAAATGTCCACTTCCAGATACTACAAAAAGAGTGTTTCAAACCTACTCTGTGAAAGGGAATATTGAACTCTGTGACTTGAATGCACATATCACAAAGAAGCTTCTGAGAATGCTTCTGTCGAGATTTTATATGAAGATATTCCCGTTTCCAACGAAATCCTGAAATCTATCCAAATATCCCCTCGCAGATTCTACAAAAAGAGTGTTTCAAAACTGCTCTGTAAAAAGAAAGGTTCAACTCTATTAGTTGAGTACACACATCACAAACAAGTTTCACAGAATGCTTCTTTCTAGCTTGTAGGGGAAGATATTCCCTTTATCACCATGGGCCTCAAACCGTCCGAAACTTCCACTTCCATATACTACAAAAAGAGCGTTTCAAACCTGCTCTAGGAAAGGCAATGTTCAACTCTGTGACTTGAATGCAGACATCACATAGCAGTTTCTGAGAATGCTTCTGTCTAGATTTTATAGGAAGATATTCCCGTTTCCAACGAAATCTTCACAGCTATCCAAATATCCACTTGCAGATTCTACAAAAAGAGTGTATCAAAACTGCTCTGTCAAAAGGAAGGTTCTTCTCTGTTAGTTGAGTACATACGTCATAAAGGAGTTTGTGAGAATGTTTCTGTCTAGTGGTTATGGGAAGATATTTGCTTTTTCACCGAAGGCCTCAGAGCGCTCCAAATGTCCACTTGCACATACTACAAAATGAGTGCCTCAAAGCTGCTCTCTGAAACGGAATGTTCAACTCTATGAGTTGAATGCAAACATCACAAAGACGTTTCCGAGAATGCTTCTGTCTAGATTTGATATGAAGATATTCCCGTTTCCAACGTAATCTTCAAATCTATCCAAATGTCCCCTTGCAGATTCAACAAAGTGTTTTTCAAAACTGCTGTACCAAAGAAAGATCCACCTCTGTTAGCTGAGTTCACACTTCACAAACAAGTTTATCAGAATGCTTCTGTCTAGTTTTTATTTGAAGATATTTCCTTTCTCACCATAGACCTGAAAGCTGTCCTAATGTTCACTTCCAGTTACTACAGAAAGAGTGTTTGAAAACTGCTGTACGAAAGGGAATGCTCAACTCTGTGACTTGAATGCACACATCACAAAGAAGTTTCTGAGGATGCTGCTGTCTACTTTTTATACTTAATCCCGTTTCCAACGAAATCCTCCAAGCTATCCAAATATCCACTTGCAGATTCCACAGAAAGACTGTTTCAAAACTGCTCTGTCAATAGAAAGGTTCAACTCTGTTAGCTGCGTGCATATATCCCAAAGAAGATTCTGAGATTGCTTCTGTCTAGTTTTTATGGGAAGATATTTCCCTTTTCACCGTAGGGCGTCAAGGCGCTCCAAATGTCCACTTCCAGATACTACAAAAAGAGTGTTTCAAACCTACTCTGTGAAAGGGAATATTCAACTCTGTGACTTTAATGCACATATCACAAAGAAGTTTCTGAGAATGCTTCTGTCGAGATTTTCTATGAAGATATTCCCGTTTCCAACGAAATCCTGAAATGTATCCAAATATCCCCTCGCAGATTCTACAGAAAGAGTGTTTCAAAACTGCTCTGTAAAAAGAAAGGTTCAACTCTGTTACTTGAGTACACACATCACAAACAAGTTTCACAGAATGCTTCTTTCTAGCTTGTAGGGGAAGATATTCCCTTTATCACCGTGGGCCTCAAACCGTCCGAAACGTCCACTTCCATATACTACAAAAAGAGCGTTTCAAACCTGCTCTAGGAAAGGCAATGTTCAACTCTGTGACTTGAATGCAGACATCACAGAGCAGTTTCTGAGAATGCTTCTGTCTAGAATTTATAGGAAGATATTCCCGTTTCCAACGAAATCTTCACAGCTATCCAAATATCCACTTTCAGATTCTACAAAAAGAGTGTATCAAAAGTGCTCTGTCAAAAGGAAGGTTCTTCTCTGTTAGGTGAGTGCATACGTCATAAAGGAGTTTCTGAGAATGTTTCTGTCTAGTGGTTATGGGAAGATATTTGCTTTTTCACCTTAGGCCTCAGAGCGCTCCATATATCCCCTTGCACATACTACAAAAAGAATGCTTCAAAGCTGCTCTCTGAAAGGGAATGTTCAACTCTATGATTTGAATGCAAACATCACAAAGACGTTTCTGAGAATGCTTCTGTCTAGATTTGATATGAAGATCTTCCCGTTTCCAACGAAATCTTCAAATCTATCCAAATGTCCACTTGCAGATTCAACAGAAAGTGTTTTTCAGAACTGCTCTATCAAAAGAAAGATCCACCTCTGTTAGCTGAGTTCAGACATCACAAACAAGTTTATGAGAATGCTTCTGTCTAGTTTTTATTTGAAGATATTTCCTTTCTCACCATAGACCTGAAAGCTGTCCTAATGTTCACTTCCAGATACTACAGAAAGAGTGTTTCAAAACTGCTGCACGAAAGGGAATGTTCAACTCTGTGACTTGAATGCACACCTCACAAAGAAGTTTCTGAGGATGCTGCTGTCTACTTTTTATACGTACTCCCGTTTCCAACGAAATCCTCCAAGCTATCCAAATATCCACTTGCAGATTCCACAGAAAGACTGTTTCAAAACTGCTCTGTCAATAGAAAGGTTCAACTCTGTTAGCTGCGTGCATATATCCCAAAGAAGATTCTGAGATTGCTTCTGTCTACTTTTTATGGGAAGATATTTCCCTTTTCACCGTAGGCGTCAAGGCGCTCCAAATGTCCACTTCCAGATACTACAAAAAGAGTGTTTCAAACCTACTCTGTGAAAGGGAATATTCAACTCTGTGACTAGAATGCGCATATCACAATGAAGTTTCTGAGAATGCTTCTGTCGAGATTTTATATGAAGATATTCCCGTTTCCAACGAAATCCTGAAATCTATCCAAATATCCCCTCGCAGATTCTACAAAAAGAGTGTTTCAAAACTGCTCTGTGAAAAGAAAGGTTCAACTCTGTTAGTTGAGTACACACATCACAAACAAGTTTCACAGAATGCTTCTTTCTAGCTTGTAGGGGAAGATATTCCCTTTATCACCATGGGGCTCCAACCGTCCGAAACATCCACTTCCATATACTACAAAAAGAGCGTTTCAAACCTGCTCTATGAAAGGCAATGTTCAACTCTGTGACTTGAATGCAGACATCACAGAGCAGTTTCTGAGAATGCTTCTGTCTAGATTTTATAGGAAGTTATTCCCGTTTCCAACGAAATCTTCACAGGTATCCAAATATCCACTTGCAGATTCTACAAAAAGAGTGTATCAAAACTGCTCTGTCAAAAGGAAGGTTCTTCTCTGTTAGGTGAGTGCATACGTCATAAAGGAGTTTCTGAGAATGTTTCTGTCTAGTGGTTATGGGAAGATATTTGCTTTTTCACCGTAGGCCTCAGAGCGCTCCAAATATCCACTTGCACATACTACAAAAAGAGTGCTTCAAAGCTGCTCTCTGAAACGGAATGTTTAACTCTATGAGTTGAATGCAAACATCACAAAGACGTTTCTGAGAATGCTTCTGTCTAGATTTGATATGAAGATATTCCCGATTCCAAAGAAATCTTCAAATCTATCCAAATGTCCACTTGCAGATTCAACAAAAAGTGTTTTTCAGAACTGCTCTATCAAAAGAAAGATCCACGGCTCTTAGCTGAGTTCACACATCACGAACAAGTTTATGAGAATGCTTCTGTCTAGTTTTTATTTGAAGATATTTCCTTTCTCACCATAGACCTGAAACGCTGTCCTAATGTTCACTTCCAGATACTACAGAAAGAGTGTTTCAAAACTGCTGTACGAAAGGGAATGTTCAACTCTGTGACTTGAATGCACACATCACAAGGAAGTTTCTCAGGATGCTGCTGTCTACTTTTTATACGTAATCCCGTTTCCAACGAAATCCTCCAAGCTATCCAAATATCCACTTGCAGATTCCACAGAAAGACTGTTTCAAAACTGCTCTGTCAATAGAAAGGTTCAACTCTGTTAGCTGCGTGCATATATCCCAAAGAAGATTCTGAGATTGCTTATCTGTCTACTTTTTATGAGAAGATATTTTCCTTTTCACCGTAGGCGTCAGGGCGCTCCAAATGTCCACTTCCAGATACTACAAAAAGAGTGTTTCAAACCTACTCTGTGAACGGGAATATTCAACTCTGTGACTTGAATGCACATATCACAAAGAAGCTTCTGAGAATGCTTCTGTCGAGATTTTATATGAAGATATTCCCGTTTCGAACGAAATCCTGAAATCTATCCAAATATCCCCTCGCAGATTCTACAAAAAGAGTGTTTCAAAACTGCTCTGTAAAAAGAAAGGTTCAACTCTGTTAGTTGAGTACACACATCACAAAAAAGTTTCACAGAATGCTTCTTTCTAGCTTGTAGGGGAAGATATTCCCTTTATCACCATGGGCCTCAAACCGTCCGAAAAGTCCACTTCCATATACTACGAAAAGAGCATTTCAAACCTGCTCTATGAAAGGCAATGTTCAACTCTGTGACTTGAATGCAGACATCACAGAGCAGTTTCTGAGAATGCTTCTGTCTAGATTTTATAGGAAGATATTCCCGTTTCCAACGAAATCTTCACAGCTATCCAAATATCCACTTGCAGTTTCTACAAAAAGAGTGTATCAAAACTGCTCTCTCAAAAGGAAGGTTCTTCTCTGTTAGTTGAGTACATACGTCATAAAGGAGTTTCTGAGAAAGTTTCTGTCTAGTGGTTATGGGAAGATATTTTCTTTTTCACCGTAGGCCTCAGAGCGCTCCAAATATCCACTTGCACATACTACAAAAAGAGTGTTTCAAAGCTGCTCTCTGAAAGGGAATGTTCAACTCTATGAGTTGAATGCAAACATGACAAAGACGTTTCTGAGAATGCTTCTCTCTAGATTTGATATGAAGATATTCCCATTTCCAAAGAAATCTTCAAATCTATCCAAATGTCCACTTGCAGATTCAACAAAAAGTGTTTTTCAGAACTGCTCTATCAAAAGAAAGATCCACGTCTCTTAGCTGAGTTCACACATCACAAACAAGTTTATGAGAATGCTTCTGTGTAGTTTTTATTTGAAGATATTTCCTTTCTCACCATAGACCTGAATGCTGTCCTAATGTTCACTTCCAGACACTACAGAAAGAGTTTTTCAAAACTGCTGTACGAAAGGGAATGTTCAACTCTGTGACTTGAATGCACACATCACAAAGAAGTTTCTGAGGATGCTGCTGTCTACTTTTTATAGGTAATCCCGTTTCCAACGAAATCCTCCAAGCTATCCAAATATCCACTTGCAGATTCCACAGAAAGACTGTTACAAAACTGCTCTGTCAATAGAAAGGTTCAACTCTCTTAGCTGCGTGCATATATCCCAAAGAAGATTCTGAGATTGCTTCTGTCTAGTTTTTATGGGAAGATATTTCCCTTTTCACCGTAGTTGTCAATGTGCTCCAAATGTCCACTTCCAGACACTACAAAAAGAGTGTTTCAAACCTACTCTGTGAAAGGGAATATTCAACTCTGTGACTTGAATGCAGATATCACAAAGAAGTTTCTGAGAATGCTTCTGTCGAGATTTTATATGAAGATATTCCCGTTTCCAACGAAATCCTGAAATCTATCCAAATATCCCCTCGCAGATTCTACAAAAAGAGTGTTTCAAAACTGCTCTGTAAAAAGAAAGGTTGAACTCTGTTACTTGAGTACACACATCACAAACAAGTTTCACAGAATGCTTCTTTCTAGCTTGTAGGGGAAGATATTCCCTTTATCACCATGGGCCTCAAACCGTCCGAAACGTCTACTTCCATATACTACAAAAAGAGCGTTTCAAACCTGCTCTATGAAAGGCAATGTTCAACTCTGTGACTTGAATGCAGACATCACAGAGCAGTTTCTGAGAATGCTTTCTGTCTAGATTTTATAGGAAGATATTTCCGTTTCCAACGAAATCTTCACAGCTATCCAAATATCCACTTGCAGATTCTACAAAAAGAGTGTATCAAAACTGCTCTGTCAAAAGGAAGGTTCTTCTCTGTTAGGTGAGTGCATACGTCATAAAGGAGTTTCTGAGAATGTTTCTGTCTAGTGGTTATGGGAAGATATTTGCTTTTTCACCGTAGGCCTCAGAGCGCTCCAAATATCCACTTGCACATACTACAAAAAGAGTGCCTCAAAGCTGCTCTCTGAAACGGAATGTTCAACTCTATGAGTTGAATGCAAACATCGCAAAGACGTTTCTGAGAATGCTTTCTGTCTAGATTTGATATGAAGATATTCCCGTTTCCAACGAAATCTTCAAATCTATCCAAATGTCCACTTGCAGATTCAACAAAAAGTGTTTTTCAGAACTGCTCTATCAAAAGAAAGATCCACGTGTGTTAGCTGCGTTCACACATCACAAACAAGTTTATGAGAATGCTTCTATCTAGTTTTTATTTGAAGATATTTCCTTTCTCACCATCGACCTGAAAGCTGTCCTAATGTTCACTTCCAGATACTACAGAAAGAGTGTTTCAAAACTGCTGTACGAAAGGGAATGTTCAACTCTGTGACTTGAATGCACACATCACAAAGAAGTTTCTGAGGATGCTGCTGTCTACTTTTTATACGTAATCCCGTTTCCAACGAAATCCTCCAAGCTATCCAAATATCCACTTGCAGATTCCACAGAAAGAGTGTTTCAAAACTGCTCTGTCAATAGAAAGGTTCAACTCTGTTAGCTGCGTGCATATATCCCAAAGAAGATTCTGAGATTGCTTCTGTCTAGTTTTTATGGGAAGATATTTCCCTTTTCACCGTAGGTGTCAAGGTGCTCCAAATGTCCACTTCCAGATACTACAAAAAGAGTGTTTCAAACCTACTCTGTGAAAGGGAATATTCAACTCTGTGACTTGAATGCAGATATCACAAAGAAGTTTCCTGAGAATGCTTCTGTCGAGATTTTATATGAAGATATTCCCGTTTACAACGAAATTCTGAAATCTATCCAAATATCCCCTCGCAGATTCTAGAAAAAGAGTGTTTCAAAACTGCTCTGTAAAAAGAAAGGTTCACTTCTCTTAGTTGAGTACACACATCACAAACAAGTTTCTCAGAATGCTTCTTTCTAGCTTGTAGGGGAAGATATTCCCTTTATCACCATGGGCCTCAAACCGTCCGAAACGTCTACTTCCATATACTACAAAAAGAGCGCTTCAAACCTGCTCTATGAAAAGCAATGTTCAACTCTGTGACTTGAATGCAGACATCGCAGAGCAGTTTCTGAGAATGCTTCTGTCTAGATTTTATAGGAAGATATTCCCGTTTCCAACGAAATCTTCACAGCTATCCAAATATCCACTTGCAGATTCTACAAAAAGAGTTTATCAAAACTGCTCTGTCAAAAGGAAGGTTCTTCTCTGTTAGGTGAGTGCATACTTCATAAAGGAGTTTCTGAGAATGTTTCTGTCTAGTGGTTATGGGAAGATATTTGCTTTTTCACCGTAGGCCTCAGAGCGCTCCAAATGTCCACTTGCACATGCTACAAAAAGAGTGCTTCAAAGCTGCTCTCTGAAAGGGAATGTTCAACTCTATGAGTTGAATGCAAACATCACAAAGACGTTTCTGAGAATGCTTCTGTCTAGATTTGATATGAAGATATTCCCGTTTCCAACGAAATCTTCAAATCTATCCAAATGTCCACTTGCAGATTCAACAAAAAGTGTTTTTCCGAACTGCTCTATCAAAAGAAAGATCCACCTCTGTTAGCTCAGTTCACACATCACAAACAAGTTTATGAGAATGTTTCTGTCTAGTTTTTATTTGAAGATATTTCCTTTCTCACCATAGACCTGAAAGCTGTCCTAATGTTCACTTCCAGATACTACAGAAAGAGTGTTTCAAAACTGCTGTACGAAAGGGAATGTTCAGCTCTGTGACTTGAATGCACACATCACAAAGAAGTTTCTGAGGATGCTGCTGTCTACTTTTTATACGTAATTCCGTTTCCAACGAAATCCTCCAATCTATCCAAATATCCACTTGCAGATTCCACAGAAAGACTGTTTCAAATCTGCTCAGTCAATAGAAAGGTTCAACTCTGTTAGCTGCGTGCATATATCACAAAGAAGATTCTGAGATTGCTTCTGTCTAGTTTTTATGGGAAGATATTTCCCTTTTCACCGTAGGCGTCAAGGCGCTCCAAATGACCACTTCCAGATACTACAAAAAGAGTGTTTCAAACCTACTCTGTGAAAGGGAATATTCAACTCTGTGACTTGAATGCACATATCACAAGGAAGTTTCTGAGAATGCTTCTGTCGAGATTTTATATGAAGATATTCCCGTTTCCAACGAAATGCTGAAATGTATCAAAATATCCCCTCGCAGATTCTACAAAAAGAGTGTTTCAAAACTGCTCTGTAAAAAGAAAGGTTCAACTCTGTTAGTTGAGTACACACATCACAAACAAGTTTCACAGAATGCTTCTTTCTAGCTTGTAGGGGAAGATATTCCCTTTATCACCATGGGCCTCAAACCGTCCGAAACGTCTACTTCCATATACTACAAAAAGAGCGTTTCAAACCTGCTCTATGAAAAGCAATGTTCAACTCTGTGACTTGAATGCAGACATCACAGAGCAGTTTCTGAGAATGCTTCTGTCTAGATTTTATAGGAAGATATTCTCGTTTCCAACGAAATCTTCACAGCTATCCAAATATCCACTTGCAGATTCTACAAAAAGAGTGTATCAAAACTGCTCTGTCAAAAGGAAGGTTCTTCTCTGTTAGGTGAGTGCATACGTCATAAAGGAGTTTCTGAGAATGTTTCTGTCTAGTGGTTATGGGAAGATATTTGCTTTTTCACCGTAGGCCTCAGAGCGCTCCAAATATCCACTTGCACATACTACAAAAAGAGTGCTTCAAAGCTGCTCTCTGAAACGGAATGTTCAACTCTGTGAGTTGAATGCAAACATCACAAAGACGTTTCTGAGAATGCTTCTGTCTACATTTGATATGAAGATATTCCCGTTTCCAACGAAATCTTCAAATCTATCCAAATGTCCACTTGCATAATCAACAAAAAGTGTTTTTCAGAACTGCTCTATCAAAAGAAAGATCCACCTCTGTTAGCTGAGTTCACACATCACAAACAAGTTTATGAGAATGCTTCTGTCTAGTTTTTATTTGAAGATATTTCCTTTCTCACCATAGACCTGAAAGCTGTCCTAATGTTCACTTCCAGATACTACAGAAAGAGTGTTTCAAAACTGCTGTACGAAAGGGAATGTTCAACTCTGTGACTTGAATGCACACCGCACAAAGAAGTTTCTGAGGATGCTGCTGTCTACTTTTTATACTTAATCCCGTTTCCAACGAAATCCTCCAAGCTATCCAAATATCCACTTGCAGATTCCACAGAAAGACTGTTTCAAAACTGCTCTGTCAATAGAAAGGTTCAACTCTGTTAGCTGCGTGCATATATCCCAAAGAAGATTCCTGAGATTGCTTCTGTCTAGTTTTTATGGGAAGATATTTCCCTTTTCACCGTAGGCGTCAAGGCGCTCCAAATGTCCACTTCCAGATACTACAAAAAGAGTGTTTCAAACCTACTCTGTGAAAGGGAATATTCAACTCTGTGACTTGAATGCAGATATCACAAAGAAGTTTCTGAGAATGCTTCTGTCGAGATTTTATATGAAGATATTCCCGTTTCCAACGAAATCCTGAAATCTATCCAAATATCCCCTCGCAGATTCTACAAAAAGAGTGTTTCCAAACTGCTCTGTAAAAAGAAAGGTTCAACTCTGTTAGTTGAGTACACACATCACAAACAAGTTTCACAGAATGCTTCTTTCTAGCTTGTAGGGGAAGATATTCCCTTTATCACCATGGGCCTCAAACCGTCCGAAACGTCCACTTCCATATACTACAAAAAGATCGTTTCAAACCTGCTCTAGGAAAGGCAATGTTCAACTCTGTGACTTGAATGCAGACATCACAGAGCAGTTTCTGAGAATGCTTCTGTCTGGATTTTATAGGAAGATATTCCCGTTTCCAACGAAATCTTCACAGCTATCCAAATATCCACTTGCAGATTCTACAAAAAGAGTGTATCAAACCTGCTCTGTCAAAAGGAAGGTTCTTCTCTGTTAGTTGAGTACATACGTCATAAAGGAGTTTCTGAGAATGTTTCTGTCTAGTGGTTATGGGAAGATATTTGCTTTTTCACCGTAGGCCTCAGAGCGCTCCAAATATCCACTTGCACATACTACAAAAAGAGTGCCTCAAAGCTGCTCTTGGAAACGGAATGTTCAACTCTATGAGTTGAATGCAAACATCACAAAGACGTTTCTGAGAATGCTTCTGTCTAGATTTGATATGAAGATATTCCCGTTTCCAACGAAATCTTCATATCTATCCAAATGTCCACTTGCAGATTCAACAAAAAGTGTTTTTCAAAACTGCTGTATCAAAAGAAAGATCCACGTCTGTTAGCTGAGTTCACACATCACAAACAAGTTTATGAGAATGCTTCTGTCTAGTTTTTATTTGAAGATATTTCCTTTCTCACCATAGACCTGAAAGCTGTCCTAATGTTCACTCCCAGATAATACACAAAGAGTGTTTCAAAACTGCTGTACGAAGGGGAATGTTCAACTCTGTGACTTGAATGCACACATCACAAAGAAGTTTCTGAGGATGCTGCTGTCTACTTTTTATACGTAATCCCGTTTCCAACGAAATCCTCCAAGCTATCCAAATATCCACTTGCAGATTCCACAGAAAGACTGTTTCAAAACTGCTCTGTCAATAGAAAGGTTCAACTCTGTTAACTGCGTGCATATATCCCAAAGAAGATTCTGAGATTGCTTCTGTGTAGTTTTTATGGGAAGATATTTCCTTTTTCACCATTGGCGTCAAAGCGCTCCCAATGTCCACTTCCAGATACTACAAAAAGAGTGTTTCAAACCTGCTATGTGAAAGGGAATATTCAACTCTGTAACTTCAATGCATATATCACAAAGAGGTTTCGGAGAATGCTTCTGTCGAGATTTTATATGAAGATATTCCCGTTTCCAACGAAATCCTGAAATCTATCCAAATATCCCCTCGCAGATTCTACAGAAAGAGTGTTTCAAAACTGCTCTGTAAAAAGAAAGGTTCAACTCTGTTAGTTGAGTGCACATATCACAAACAAGTTTCACAGAATGCTTCTTTCTAGCTTGTAGGGGAAGATATTCCCTTTATCACCATGGGCCTCCAACCGTCCGAAACATCCACTTCCATATACTACAAAAAGAGCGTTTCAAACCTGCTCTATGAAAGGCAATGTTCAACTCTGTGACTTGAATGCAGACATCACAGAGCAGTTTCTGAAAATGCTTCTGTCTAGATTTTATAGGAAGATATTCCCGTTTCCAACGAAATCTTCACAGCTATCCAAATATCCACTTGCAGATTCTACAAAAAGAGTGTATCAAAACTGCTCTGTCAAAAGGAAGGTTCTTCTCTGTTAGGTGAGTGCATACGTCGTAAAGGAGTTTCTGAGAATGTTTCTGTCTAGTGGTTATGGGAAGATATTTGCTTTTTCACCGTAGGCCTCAGAGCGCTCCAAATATCCACTTGCACATACTACAAAAAGAGTGCCTCAAAGCTGCTCTCTGAAACGGAATGTTCAACTCTATGAGTTGAATGCAAACATCACAAAGACGTCTCTGAGAAGGCTTCTGTCTAGATTTGATATGAAGATATTCCCGTTTCCAACGAAATCTTCAAATCTATCTAAATGTCCACTTGCAGATTCAACAAAAAATGTTTTTCAGAACTGCTCTATCAAAAGAAAGATCCACCTCTGTTAGCTGAGTTCACACATCACAAACAAGTTAATGAGAATGCTTCTGTCTAGTTTTTATTTGAAGATATTTCCTTTCTCACCATAGAGCTGAAAGCTGTCCTAATGTTCACTTCCAGATACTACAGAAAGAGTGTTTCAAAACTGCTGTACGAAAGGGAATGTTCAACTCTGTGACTTGAATGCACACGTCACAAAGAAGTTTCTGAGGATGCTGCTGTCTACTTTTTATACGTAATCCCGTTTCCAACGAAATCCTCCAAGCTATCCAAATATCCACTTGCAGATTCCACAGAAAGGCTGTTTCAAAACTGCTCTGTCAATAGAAAGGTTCAACTCTGTTAGCTGCGTGCATATATCCCAAAGAAGATTCTGAGATTGCTTTCTGTCTAGTTTTTATGGGAAGATATTTCCCTTTTCACCGTAGGCGTCATGGCGCTCCAAATGTCCACTTCCAGATACTACAAAAAGAATGTTTCAAACCTACTCGGTGAAAGGGAATATTCAACTCTGTGACCTGAATGCAGATATCACAAAGAAGTTTCTGAGAATGCTTCTGTCGAGATTTTATATGAAGATATTCCCGTTTCCAACGAAATCCTGAAATCTATCCAAATATCCCCCCGCAGATTCTACAAAAAGAGTGTTTCAAAACTGCTCTGTAAAAAGAAAGGTTCAACTCTGTTAGTTGAGTACACACATCACAAACAAGTTTCACAGAATGCTTCTTTCTAGCTTGTAGGGGAAGATATTCCCTTTATCACCATGGGCCTCCAACCGTCCGAAACATCCACTTACATATACTACAAAAAGAGCGTTTCAAACCTGCTCTATGAAAGGCAATGTTCAACTCTGTGACTTGAATACAGATATCACAGAGCAGTTTCTGAGAATGCTTCTGTCTAGATTTTATAGGAAGATATTCCCGTTTCCAACGAAATCTTCACAGCTATCCAAATATCCACTTGCAGATTCTACAAAAAGAGTGTATCAAAACTGCTCTGTCAAAAGGAAGGTTCTTCTCTGTTGGGTGAGTGCATACGTCATAAAGGAGTTTCTGAGAATGTTTCTGTCTAGTGGTTATGGGAAGATATTTGCTTTTTCACCTTAGGCCTCAGAGCGATCCAAATATCCACTTGCACATACTACAAAAAGAGTGCTTCAAAGCTGCTCTCTGAAACGGAATGTTCAACTCTATGAGTTGAATGCAAACATGACAAAGACGTTTCCGAGAATGCTTCTGTCTAGATTTGATATGACGATATTCCCGTTTCCAACGAAATCTTCAAATCTATCCAAATGTCCACTTGCAGATTCAACAAAACGTGTTTTTCAGAACTGCTCTATCAAAAGAAAGATCCACGTCTCTTAGCTGAGTTCACACATCACAAACAAGTTTATGAGAATGCTTCTGTCTAGTTTTTATTTGAAGATATTTCCTTTCTCACCATAGACCTGAAAGCTGTCCTAATGTTCACTTCCAGACACTACAGAAAGAGTGTTTCAAAACTGCTGTACGAAAGGGAATGTTCAACTCTGTGACTTGAATGCACACATCACAAAGAAGTTTCTGAGGATGCTGCTGTCTACTTTTTATACGTAATCCCATTTCCAACGAAATCCTCCAAGCTATCCAAATATCCACTTGCAGATTCCACAGAAAGACTGTTTCAAAACTGCTATGTCAATAGAAAAGTTCAACTCTGTTAGCTGTGTGCATATATCCCAAAGAAAATTCTGAGATTGCTTCTGTCTAGTTTTTATGGGAAGATATTTCCCTTTTCACCGTAGGCGTCAATGCGCTCCAAATGTCCACTTCCAGATACTACAAAAAGAGTGTTTCAAACCTACTCTGTGAAAGGGAATATTCAACTCTGTGACTTAAAGGCAGATATCACAAAGAAGTTTCTGAGAATGCTTCTGTCGAGATTTTATATGAAGATATTCCCGTTTCCAACGAAATCCTAAATCTATCCAAATATCCCCTCGCAGATTCTACAAAAAGAGTGTTTCAAAACTGCTCTGTAAAAAGAAAGGTTCAACTCTGTTAGTTGAGTACACACATCACAAACAAGTTTCACAGAATGCTTCTTTCTAGCTTGTAGGGGAAGATATTCCCTTTATCACCATGGGCCTCAAAGCGTCCGAAACGTCTACTTCCATATACTACAAAAAGAACGTTTCAAACCTGCTCTATGAAAAGCAATGTTCAACTCTGTGACTTGAATGCAGACATCACAGAGCAGTTTCTGAGAATGCTTCTGTCTAGATTTTATAGGAAGATATTCCCGTTTCCAACGATATCTTCACAGCTATCCAAATATCCACTTGCAGATTCTACAAAAAGAGTGTATCAAAACTGCTCTGTCAAAAGGAAGGTTCTTCTCTGTTAGTTGAGTACATACGTCATAAAGGAGTTTCTGAGAATGTTTCTGTCTAGTGGTTATGGGAAGATATTTGCTTTTTCACCTTAGGCCTCAGAGCGCTCCAAATATCCCCTTGCACATACTACAAAAAGAGTGCTTCAAAGCTGCTCTCTGAAACGGAATGTTCAACTCTATGGGTTGAATGCAAACATCACAAAGACGTTTCTGAGAATGCTTCTGTCTAGATTTGATATGAAGATATTCCCGTTTCCAAAGAAATCTTCAAATCTATCCAAATGTCCACTTGCAGATTCAACAAAAAGTGTTTTTCAGAACTGCTCTATCAAAAGAAAGATCCAGGTCTCTTAGCTGAGTTCACACATCACAAACAAGTTTATGAGAATGCTTCTGTCTAGTTTTTATTTGAAGATATTTCCTTTCTCACCATAGACCTGAAAGCTGTCCTAATGTTCACTTCCAGATACTACAGAAAGAGTGTTTCAAAACTGCTGTACGAAAGGGAATGTTCAACTCTGTGACTTCAATGCACACATCACAAAGAAGTTTCTGAGGATGCTGCTGTCTACTTTTTATACGTAATCCCGTTTCCAACGAAATCCTCCAAGCTATCCAAATATCCACTTGCAGATTCCACAAAAAGACTGTTTCAAAACTGCTCTGTCAATAGAAAGGTTCAACTCTGTTAGCTGCGTGCATACATCCCAAAGAAGATTCTGAGATTGCTTCTGTCTACTTTTTATGAGAAGATATTTCCCTTTTCACCGTAGGCGTCAAGGCGCTCCAAATGTCCACTTCCAGATACTACAAAAAGAGTGTTTCAAACCTACTCTGTGAAAGGGAATATTCAACTGTGTGACTTGAATGCACATATCACAAAGAAGCTTCTGAGAATGCTTCTGTCGAGATTTTATATGAAGATATTCCCGTTTCCAACGAAATCCTGAAATGTATCCAAATATCCCCTCGCAGATTATACAAAAAGAGTGTTTCAAAACTGCTCTGTAAAAAGAAAGGTTCAACTCTGTTAGTTGAGTACACACATCACAAACAAGTTTCACACAATGCTTCTTTCTAGCTTGTAGGGGAAGATATTTCCTTTATCACCATGGTTCTCAAACCGTCCGAAACGTCCACTTCCATATACTAAAAAAAGAGTGTTTGAAACCTGCTCTATGAAAGGCAATGTTCAACTCTGTCACTTGAATGCAGACATCACAGAGCAGTTTCTGAGAATGCTTCTGTCTAGATTTTATAGGAAGATATTCCCGTTTCCAACGAAATCTTTACAGCTATCCAAATATCCACTTGCAGATTCTACAAAAAGAGTGTATCAAAACTGCTCTGTCAAAAGGAAGGTTCTTCTCTGTTAGGTGAGTGCATACGTCATAAAGGAGTTTCTGAGAATGTTTCTGTCTAGTGGTTATGGGAAGATATTTGCTTTTTCCCCGTAGGCCTCAGGGCGCTCCAAATGTCCACTTGCACATGCTACAAAAAGAGTGCTTCAAAGCTGCTCTCTGAAAGGGAATGTTCAACTCTATGAGTTGAATGCAAACATCACAAAAACGTTTCTGAGAATGCTTCTGTCTAGATTTGATATGAAGATATTCCCGTTTCCAACGAAATCTTCAAATCTATCCAAATGTCCACTTGCAGATTCAACAAAAAGTGTTTTTAAAACTGCTGTATCAAAAGAAAGATTCACGTCTGTTAGCTGAGTTCACACATCACAAACAAGTTTATGAGAATGCTTCTGTCTAGTTTTTATTTGAAGATATTTCCCTTCTCACCATAGACCTGCAAGCTGTCCTAATGTTCACTTCCAGATACTACAGAAAGAGTGTTTCAAAACTGCTGTACGAAAGGGAATGTTCAACTCTGTGACTTGAATGCACACATCACAAAGTAGTTTCTGAGGATGCTGCTGTGTACTTTTGATACGTAATCCCGTTTCCAACGAAATCCTCCAAGCTATCGAAATATCCACTTGCAGATTCCACAGAACGACTGTTTCAAAACTGCTCTGTCAA
Source organism: Homo sapiens (assembly GCF_000001405.40). Lineage (NCBI taxonomy): Eukaryota > Metazoa > Chordata > Mammalia > Primates > Hominidae > Homo > Homo sapiens. Next base: position 17,224,867 of record NC_000013.11, on the reverse strand, counting down.
TAGAAATGTTCAACTCTGTTAGCTGCGTGCATATATCCCAAAGAAGATTCTGAGATTGCTTTCTGTCTACTTTTTATGAGAAGATATTTCCCTTTTCACCGTAGGCGTCAAGGTGCTCAAAATGTCCACTTCCAGATACTACAGAAAGAGTGTTTCAAACCTACTCTGTGAAAGGGAATATTCAACTCTCTGACTTGAATGCACATATCACAAAGAAGTTTTCTGAGAATGCTTCTGTCGAGATTTTATATGAAGATATTCCCGTTTCCAACGAAATCCTGAAATGTATCCAAATATCCCCTCGCAGATTCTACAAAAAGAGTGTTTCAAAACTGCTCTGGAAAAAGAAAGGTTCAACTCTGTTAGTTGAGTACACACATCACAAACAAGTTTCACAGAATGCTTCTTTCTAGCTTGTAGGGGAAGATATTCCCTTTATCACCATGGGCCTCAAACCGTCTGAAACGTCCACTTCCATATACTACAAAAAGAGCGTTTCAAACCTGCTCTATGAAAGGCAATGTTCAACTCTGTGAGTTGAATGCAGACATCACAGAGCAGTTTCTGAGAATGCTTCTGTCTAGATTTTATAGGAAGATATTCCCGTTTCCAACGAAATCTTCACAGCTATCCAAATATCCACTTGCAGGTTCTACAAAAAGAGTGTATCAAAACTGCTCTGTCAAAAGGAAGGTTCTTTTCTGTTAGGTGAGTGCATACGTCATAAAGGAGTTTCTGAGAATGTTTCTGTTTAGTGGTTATGGGAAGATATTTGCTTTTTCACCTTAGGCCTCAGAGCGCTCCAAATATCCCCTTGCACATACTACAAAAAGAGTGCTTCAAAGCTGCTCTCTGAAAGGGAATGTTCAACTCTATGAGTTGAATGCAAACATGACCAAGACGTTTCCGAGAATGCTTCTGTCTAGATTTGATATGAAGATATTCCCGTTTCCAACGAAATCTTCAAATCTATCCAAATGTCCACTTGCAGATTCAACAAAAAGTGTTTTTCAGAACTGCTCTATCAAAAGAAAGATCCACCTCTGTTAGCTGAGTTCACACTTCACAAACAAGTTTATCAGAATGCTTCTGTCTAGTTTTTATTTGAAGATATTTCCTTTCTCACCATAGAGCTGAAAGCTGTCCTAATGTTCACTTCCAGATACTACAGAAAGAGTGTTTCAAAACTGCTGTACGAAAGGGAATGTTCAACTCTGTGACTTGAATGCACACATCACAGAGAAGTTTCTGAGGATGCTGCTGTCTACTTTTTATACCTAATCCCGTTTCCAAAGAAATCCTCCAATCTATCCAAATATCCACTTGCAGATTCCACAGAAAGACTGTTTCAAAACTGCTCTGTCAATAGAAAGGTTCAACTCTGTTAGCTGCGTGCATATATCCCAAAGAAGATTCTGAGATTGCTTCTGTCTAGTTTTTATGGGAAGATATTTCCCTTTTCACCGTAGGCGTCAAGGCGCTCTAAATGTCCACTTCCAGATACTACAAAAAGAGTGTTTCAAACCTACTCTGTGAAAGGGAATATTCAACTCTGTGACTTGAATGCACATATCACAAGGAAGTTTCTGAGAATGCTTCTGTCGAGATTTTATATGAAGATATTCCCGTTTCCAACGAAATCCTGAAATCTATCCAAATATCCCCTCGCAGATTCTACAAAAAGAGTGTTTCAAAACTGCTCTGTAAAAAGAAAGGTTCAACACTGTTAGTTGAGTACACACATCACAAACAAGTTTCACAGAGTGCTTCTTTCTAGCTTGTAGGGGAATATATTCCCTTTATCACCATGGGTCTCAAACCGTCCGAAACGTCCACCTCCATATACTACAAAAAGAGCGTTTCAAACCTGCTCTATGAAAGGCAATGTTCAACTCTGTGACTTGAATGCAGACATCACAGAGCTGTTTCTGAGAATGCTTCTGTCTAGATTTTATAGGAAGATATTCCCGTTTCCAACGAAATCTTCACAGCTATCCAAATATCCACTTGCAGATTCTACAAAAAGAGTGTATCAAAACTCCTCTGTCAAAAGAAGGTTCTTCTCTGTTAGGTGAGTGCATACGTCATAAAGGAGTTTCTGAGAATGTTTCTGTCTAGTGGTTATGGGAAGATATTTCCTTTTTCCCCGTAGGCCTCAGGGCGCTCCAAATGTCCACTTGCACATGCTACAAAAAGAGTGCTTCAAAGCTGCTCTCTGAAAGGGAATGTTCAACTCTATGAGTTGAATGCAAACATCACAAAGACGTTTCTGAGAATGCTTCTGTCTAGATTTGATATGAAGATATTCCCGTTTCCAATGAAATCTTCAAATCTATCCAAATGTCCACTTGCAGATTCAACAAAAAGTGTTTTTCAGAACTGCTCTATCAAAAGAAAGATCCACCTCTGTTAGCTGAGTTCAGACATCACAAACAAGTTTATGAGAATGCTTCTGTCTAGTTTTTATTTGAAGATATTTCCTTTCTCACCATAGAGCTGAAAGCTGTCCTAATGTTCACTTCCAGTTACTACAGAAAGAGTGTTTGAAAACTGCTGTACGAAAGGGAATGTTCAACTCTGTGACTTGAATGCACACATCACAAAGAAGTTTCTGAGGATGCTGCTGTCTACTTTTTATACGTAATCCCGTTTCCAACGAAATCCTCCAAGCTATCCAAATATCCACTTGCAGATTCCACAGAAAGACTGTTTCAAAACTGCTCTGTCAATAGAAAGGTTCAACTCTGTTAGCTGCGTGCATATAACCCAAAGAAGATTCTGAGATTGCTTCTGTCTAGTTTTTATGGGAAGATATTTCCCTTTTCACCGTAGGTGTCAATGTGCTCCAAATGTCCACTTCCAGACACTACAAAAAGAGTGTTTCAAACCTACTCTGTGAAAGGGAATATTCAACTCTGTGACTTGAATGCAGATAACACAAAGAAGTTTCTGAGAATGCTTCTGTCGAGATTTTATATGAAGATATTCCCGTTTCCAAGGAAATCCTGAAATGTATCCAAATATCCCCTCGCAGATTCTACAAAAAGAGTGTTTCAAAACTGCTCTGTAAAAAGAAAGGTTCAACTCTGTTAGTTGAGTACACACATCACAAACAAGTTTCACACAATGCTTCTTTCTAGCTTGTAGGGGAAGATATTCCCTTTATCACCATGGGCCTCAAACCGTCCGAAACGTCTACTTCCATATACTACAAAAAGAGCGTTTCAAACATACTCTATGAAAGGCAATGTTCAACTCTGTGACTTGAATGCAGACATCACAGAGCAGTTTCTGAGAATGCTTCTGTCTAGATTTTATAGGAAGATATTCCCGTTTCCAACGAAATCTTCACAGGTATCCAAATATCCACTTGCAGATTCTACAAAAAGAGTGTATCAAAACTGCTCTGTCAAAAGGAAGGTTCTTCTCTGTTAGGTGAGTGCATACCTCATAAAGGAGTTTCTGAGAATGTTTTCTGTCTAGTGGTTATGGGAAGATATTTGCTTTTTCACCGTAGGCCTCAGAGCGCTCCAAATATCTACTTGCACATACTACAAAAAGAGTGCCACAAAGCTGCTCTCTGAAAGGGAATGTTCAACTCTATGAGTTGAATGCAAACATCACAAAGACGTTTCTGAGAATGCTTCTGTCTAGATTTGATATGAAGATATTCCCGTTACCAACGAAATATTCAAATCTATCCAAATGTCCACTTGCAGATTCAACAAAAAGTGTTTTTCAGAACTGCTCTATCAAAAGAAAGATCCACCTCCTGTTAGCTGAGTTCACACATCACAAACAAGTTTATGAGAATGCTGCTGTCTAGTTTTTATTTGAAGATATTTCCTTTCTCACCATAGACCTGAAAGCTGTCCTAATGTTCACTTCCAGATACTACAGAAAGAGTGTTTCAAAACTGCTGTACGAAAGGGAATGTTCAACTCTGTGACTTGAATGCACACATCACAAAGAAGTTTCTGAGGATGCTGCTGTCTACTTTTTATACGTAATCCCGTTTCCAACGAAATCCTGCAAGCTATCCAAATATCCACTTGCAGATTCCACAGAAAGAATGTTTCAAAACTGCTCTGTCAATAGAAAGGTTCAACTCTGTTAGCTGCGTGCATATATCCCAAAGAAGATTCTGAGATTGCTTCTGTCTAGTTTTTATGGGAAGATATTTCCCTTTTCACCGTAGGCGTCAAGGCGCTTCAAATGTCCACTTCCAGATACTACAAAAAGAGTGTTTCAAACCTACTCTGTGAAAGGGAATATTCAACTACTGTGACTTGAATGCACATATCACAAAGAAGTTTCTGAGAATGCTTCTGTCGAGATTTTATATGAAGATATTCCCGTTTCCAAAGAAATCCTGAAATCTATCCAAATATCCCCTCGCAGATTCTACAAAAAGAGTGTTTCAAAACTGCTCTGTAAAAAGGAAGGTTCAACTCTGTTAGTTGAGTACACACATCACAAACAAGTTTCACAGAATGCTTCTTTCTAGCTTGTAGGGGAAGATATTCCCTTTATCACCATGGGCCTCAAACCGTCCGAAAAGACCACTTCCATATACTACAAAAAGAGCGTTTCAAACCTGCTCTATGAAAGGCAATGTTCAACTCTGTGACTTGAATGCAGACATCACAGAGCAGTTTCTGAGAATGCTTCTGTCTAGATTTTATAGGAAGATATTCCCGTTTCCAAAGAAATCTTCACAGCTATCCAAATATCCACTTGCAGATTCTACAAAAAGAGTGTATCAAAACTGCTCTGTCAAAAGGAAGGTTCTTCTCTGTTAGTTGAGTACATACGTCATAAAGGAGTTTCTGAGAATGTTTCTGTCTAGTGGTTATGGGAAGATATTTGCTTTTTCACCTTAGGCCTCAGAGAGCTCCAAATATCCCCTTGCACATACTACAAAAAGAGTGCTTCAAAGCTGCTCTTTGAAAGGGAATGTTCAACTCTATGAGTTGAATGCAAACATCACAAAGACGTTTCTGAGAATGCTTCTGTCTAGATTTGATATGAAGATATTCCCGTTTCCAACGAAATCTTCATATCTATCCAAATGTCCACTTGCAGATTCAACAAAAAGTGTTTTTCAAAACTGCTGTATCAAAAGAAAGATCCACGTCTGTTAGCTGATGCTCTATCAAAAGAATCTGTCTAGTTTTTATTTGAAGATATATCCTTTCTCACTATAGACCTGAAAGCTCTCCTAAAGTTCACTTCCCGATACTACAGAAAGAGTTTTTCAAAACTGCTGTACGAAAGGGAATGTTCAACTCTGTGACTTGAATGCACACGTCACAAGGAAGATTCTGAGGATGCTGCTGTCTACTTTTTATACGTAATCCCGTTTCCAAAGAAATCCCCCAAGCTATCCAAATATCCACTTGCAGATTCCACAGAAAGACTGTTTCAAAACTGCTCTGTCAATAGAAAGGTTCAACTCTATTAGCTGCGTGCATATATCCCAAAGAAGATTCTGAGATTGCTTCTGTCTAGTTTTTATGGGAAGATATTTCCGTTTTCACCGTAGACGTCAAGGCGCTCCAAATGTCCACTTCCAGATACTACAAAAAGAGTGTTTCAAACCTACTCTGTGAAAGGGAATATTCAACTCTGTGACTTGAATGCAGATATCACAAAGAAGTTTCTGAGAATGCTTCTGTCGAGATTTTATATGAAGATATTCCCGTTTCCAGCGAAATCCTGAAATGTATCCAAATATCCCCTCGCAGATTCTACAAAAAGAGTGTTTCAAAACTGCTCTGTAAAGAGAAAGGTTCAACTCTGTTAGTTGAGTGCACACATCACAAACAAGTTTCACAGAATGCTTCTTTCTAGCTCGTAGGGGAAGATATTCCCTTTATCACCATGGGCCTCAAACCGTCCGAATCGTCCACTTCCATATACTACAAAAAGAGCGTTTCAAACCTGCTCCATGAAAGGCAATGTTCAACTCTGTGACTTGAATGCAGACATCACAGAGCAGTTTCTGAGAATGCTTCTGTCTAGATTTTATAGGAAGATATTCCCGTTTCCAACGAAATCTTCACAGTTATCCAAATATCCACTTGCAGATTCTGCAAAAAGAGTGTATCAAAACTGCTCAGTCAAAAGGAAGGTTCTTCTCTGTTAGGTGAGTGCATACGTCATAACGGAGTTTCTGAGAATGTTTCTGTCTAGTGGTTATGGGAAGATATTTGCTTTTTCACCGTAGGCCTCAGAGCGCTCCAAATATCCACTTGCACATACTACAAAAAGAGTGCCTCAAAGCTGCTCTCTGAAACGGAATGTTCAACTCTATGAGTTGAATGCCAACATCACAAAGACGTTTCTGAGAATGCTTCTGTCTGGACTTGATATGAAGATATTCCCGTTTCCAACGAAATCTTCAAATCTATCCAAATGTCCACTTGCAGATTCAACAAAAAGTGTTTTTCAGAACTGCTCTATCAAAAGAAAGATCCACGGCTCTTAGCTGAGTTCACACATCACGAACAAGTTTATGAGAATGCTTCTGTCTAGTTTTTATTTGAAGATATTTCCTTTCTCACCATAGAGCTGAAAGCTGTCCTAATGTTCATTTCCAGATACTACAGAAAGAGTGTTTCAAAACTGCTGTACGAAAGGGAATGTTCAACTCTGTGACTTGAATGCACACATCACAAAGAAGTTTCTGAGGATGCTGCTGTCTACTTTTTATACGTAATCCCGTTTCCAACGAAATCCTCCAAGCTATCCAAATATCCACTTGCAGATTCCACAGAAAGACTGTTTCAAAACTGCTCTGTCAATAGAAAGGTTCAACTCTGTTAGCTGTGTGCATATATCCCAAAGAAGATTCTGAGATTGCTTCTGTCCAGTTTTTATGGGAAGATATTTCCCTTTTCACCGTAGGCGTCAAGGCGCTCCAAATGTCCACTTCCAGATACTACAAAAAGAGTGTTTCAAACCTACTCTGTGAAAGGGAATATTCAACTCTGTGACTTGAATGCAGATATCACAAAGAAGTTTCTGAGAATGCTTCTGTCGAGATTTTATATGAAGATATTCCCGTTTCCAACGAAATCCTGAAATCTATCTAAATATCCCCTCGCAGATTCTACAAAAAGAGTGTTTCAAAACTGCTCTGTAAAAAGAAAGGTTCAACTCTGTTAGTTGTGTACACACATCACAAACAAGTTTCACAGAATGCTTCTTTCTAGCTTGTAGGGGAAGATATTCCCTTTATCACCATGGGCCTCAAACCGTCCGAAACGTCTACTTCCATATACTACAAAAAGAGCGTTTCAAACCTGCTCTATGAAAGGCAATGTTCAACTCTGTGACTTGAATGCAGACATCACAGAGCAGTTTCTGAGAATGCTTCTGTCTAGATTTTATAGGAAGATATTCCCGTTTCCAATGAAATCTTCACAGCTATCCAAATATCCACTTGCAGATTCTACAAAAAGAGTGTATCAAAACTGCTCTGTCAAAAGGAAGGTTCTTCTCTGTTAGTTGAGTACATACGTCATAAAGGAGTTTCTGAGAATGTTTCAGTCTAGTGGTTATGGGAAGATATTTGCTTTTTCACTGCAGGCCTCACAGCGCTCCAAATATCCACTTGCACATACTACAAAAAGAGTGCTTCAAAGCTGCTCTCTGAAACGGAATGTTCAACTCTATGAGTTGAATGCAAACATCACAAAGACGTTTCCGAGAATGCTTCTGTCTAGATTTGATATGAAGATATTCCCGTTTCCAACGAAATCTTCAAATCTATCCAAATGTCCACTTGCAGATTCAACAAAAAGTGTTTTTCAGAACTGCTCTATCAAAAGAAAGATCCACCTCTGTTAGCTGAGTTCACACTTCACAAACAAGTTTATGAGAATGCTTCTGTCTAGTTTTTATTTGAAGATATATCCTTTCTCACTATAGACCTGAAAGCTCTCCTAAAGTTCACTTCCAGATACTACAGAAAGAGTGTTTCAAAACTGCTGTTCGAAAGGGAATGTTCAACTCTGTGACTTGAATGCACACATCACAAGGATGTTTCTGAGGATGCTGCTGTCTACTTTTTATACGTAATCCCATTTCCAACGAAATCCTCCAAGCTATCCAAATATCCACTTGCAGATTCCACAGAAAGACTGTTTCAAAACTGCTATGTCAATAGAAAAGTTCAACTCAGTTCGCTGTGTGCATATATCCCAAAGAAAATTCTGAGATTGCTTCTGTCTACTTTTTATGAGAAGATATTTCCCTTTTCACTGTAGGCGTCAAGGCGCTCCAAATGTCCACTTCCAGATACTACAAAAAGAGTGTTTCAAACCTACTCTGTGAAAGGGAATATTGAACTCTGTGACTTGAATGCACATATCACAAAGAAGCTTCTGAGAATGCTTTTGTCGAGATTTTATATGAAGATATTCCCGTTTCCAAAGAAATCCTGAAATCTATCCAAATATCCCCTCGCAGATTCTACAAAAAGAGTGTTTCAAAACTGCTCTGTAAAAAGAAAGGTTCAACTCTGTTAGTTGAGTACACACATCACAAACAAGTTTCACAGAATGCTTCTTTCTAGCTTGTAGGGGAAGATATTCCCTTTATCACCATGGGCCTCAAACCGTCCGAAACGTCCACTTCCATATACTACAAAAAGAGCGTTTCAAACCTGCTCTAGGAAAGGCAATGTTCAACCCTGTGACTTGAATGCAGACATCACAGAGCAGTTTCTGAGAATGCTTCTGTCTAGATTTTATAGGAAGATATTCCCGTTTCCAACAAAATCTTCACAGCTATCCAAATATCCACTTGCAGATTCTACAAAAAGAGTGTATCAAAACTGCTCTGTCAAAAGGAAGGTTCTTCTCTGTTAGGTGAGTGCATACCGTCATAAAGGAGTTTCTGAGAATGTTTCTGTCTAGTGGTTATGGGAAGATATTTTCTTTTTCACCGTAGGCCTCAGAGCGCTCCAAATATCCACTTGCACATACTACAAAAAGAGTGTTTCAAAGCTGCTCTCTGAAAGGGAATGTTCAACTCTATGAGTTGAATGCAAACATCACAAAGACGTTTCTGAGAATGCTTCTGTCTAGATTTGATATGAAGATATTCCCGTTTCCAACGAAATCTTCAAATCTATCCAAATGTCCACTTGCAGATTCAACAAAAAGTGTTTTTGAGAACTGCTCTATCAAAAGAAAGATCCACCTCTGTTAGCTGAGTTCACACATCACAAACAAGTTTATGAGAATGCTTCTGTCTAGTTTTTATTTGAAGATATATCCTTTCTCACTATAGACCTGAAAGCTGTCCTAATGTTCACTTCCAGATACTACAGAAAGAGTGTTTCAAAACTGCTGTACGAAAGGGAATGTTCAACTCTGTGACTTGAATGCACACATCACAAAGTAGTTTCTGAGGATGCTGCTGTCTACTTTTTATACGTAATCCCGTTTCCAAGGAAATCCTCCAAGCTATCCAAATATCCACTTGCAGATTCCACAGAAAGACTGTTTCAAAACTGCTCTGTCAATAGAAAGGTTCAACTCTGTTAGTTGCGTGCATATATCCCAAGGAAGATTCTGAGATTGCTTCTGTCTAGTTTTGATGGGAAGATACTTCCCTTTTCACCGTAGGTGTCAAGGCGCTCCAAATGTCCACTTCCAGATACTACAAAAAGAGTGTTTCAAACCTACTCTGTGAAAGGGAATATTCAACTCTGTGACTTGAATGCACATATCACAAAGAAGTTTCTGAGAATGCTTCTGTCGAGATTTTATATGAAGATATTCCCGTTTCCAACGAAATCCTGAAATCTATCCAAGTATCCCCTCGCAGATTCTACAAAAAGAGTGTTTCAAAACTGCTCTGTGAAAAGAAAGGTTCAACTCTGTTAGTTGAGTACACACATCACAAACAAGTTTCACACAATGCTTTCTTTCTAGCTTGCAGGGGAAGATATTCCCTTTATCACCATGGGCCTCAAACCGTCTGAAACGTCCACTTCCATATACTACAAAAAGAGCATTTCAAACCTGCTCTATGAAAGGCAATGTTCAACTCTGTGACTTGAATGCAGACATCACAGAGCAGTTTCTGAGAATGCTTCTGTCTAGATTTTATAGGAAGATATTCCCGTTTCCAATGAAATCTTCACAGCTATCCAAATATCCACTTGCAGATTCTACAAAAAGAGTGTATCAAAACTGCTCTGTCAAAAGGAAGGTTCGTTTCTGTTAGGTGAGTGCATACGTCATAAAGGAGTTTCTGAGAATGTTTCAGTCTAGTGGTTATGGGAAGATATTTGCTTTTTCCCCGTAGGACTCAGAGCGCTCCAAATATCCACTTGCACATACTACAAAAAGAGTGCTTCAAAGCTGCTCTCTGAAACGGAATGTTCAACTCTATGAGTTGAATGCAAACATCACAAAGACGTTTCTGAGAATGCTTCTGTCTAGATTTGATATGAAGATATTCCCGTTTCCAACGAAATCTTCAAATCTATCCAAATGTCCACTTGCAGATTCAACAAAACGTGTTTTTCAGAACTGCTCTATCAAAAGAAAGATCCACGTCTCTTAGCTGAGTTCACACATCACAAACAAGTTTATGAGAATGTTTCTGTCTAGTTTTTATTTGAAGATATTTCCTTTCTCACCATAGAGCTGAAAGCTGTCCTAACGTTGACTTCCAGATACTACAGAAAGAGTGTTTCAAAACTGCTGTACGAAAGGGAATGTTCAACTCTGTGACTTGAATGCTCACATCACAAAGAAGTTTCTGAGGATGCTGCTGTCTACTTTTTATACGTAATTCCGTTTCCAACGAAATCCTCCAAGCTATCCAAATATCCACTTGCAGATTCCACAGAAAGACTGTTTCAAAACTGCTCTGTCAATAGAAAGGTTCAACTCTGTTAGCTGCGTGCATATATCCCAAAGAAGATTCTGAGATTGCTTCTGTCTAGTTTTTATGGGAAGATATTTCCCTTTTCACCGTAGGTGTCAAGGCGCTCCAAATGTCCACTTCCAGATACTACAAAAAGAGTGTTTCAAACCTACTCTGTGAAAGGGAATATTCAACTCTGTGAATTGAATGCACATATCACAAAGAAGTTTCTGAGAAAGCTTCTGTCGAGATTTTATATGAATATATTCCCGTTTCCAACGAAATGCTGAAATGTATCCAAATATCCCCTCGCAGATTCTACAAAAAGAGTGTTTCAAAACTGCTCTGTAAAAAGAAAGGTTCAACTCTGTTAGTTGAGTACACACATCACAAACAAGTTTCACAGAATGCTTCTTTCTAGCTTGTAGGGGAAGATAATCCCTTTATCACCATGGGCCTCCAACCGTCCGAAACATCCACTTCCATATACTACAAAAAGAGCGTTTCAAACCTGCTCTATGAAAGGCAATGTTCAACTCTGTGACTTGAATGCAGACATCACAGAGCAGTTTCTGAGAATGCTTCTGTCTAGCATTTTATAGGAAGATATTCCCGTTTCCAGCGAAATCTTCACAGCTATCCAAATATCCACTTGCAGATTCTACAAAAAGAGTGTATCAAAACTGCTCTGTCAAATGGAAGGTTCTTCTCTGTTAGGTGAGTGCATACGTCATAAAGGAGTTTCTGAGAATGTTTCTGTCTAGTGGTTATGGGAAGATATTTGCTTTTTCACCGAAGGCCTCAGAGCGCTCCAAATATCCACTTGCACATACTACAAAAAGAGTGCTTCAAAGCTGCTCTCTGAAAGGGAATGTTCAACTCTATGAGTTGAATGCAAACATCACAAAGACGTTTCTGACAATGCTTCTGTCTAGATTTGATATGAAGATATTCCCGTTTCCAACGAAATCTTCAAATCTATCCAAATGTCCACTTGCAGATTCAACAAAAAGTGTTTTTCAGATCTGCTCTATCAAAAGAAAGATCCACCTCTGTTAGCTGAGTTCACACATCAGAAACAAGTTTATGAGAATGCTTCTGTCTAGTTTTTATTTGAAGATATTTCCTTTCTCACCATAGACCTGAAAGCTGTCCTAATGTTCACTTAAAGATGCTACAGAAAGAGTGTTTCAAAACTGCTGTACGAAAGGGAATGTTCAACTCTGTGACTTGAATGCACACATCACAAAGAAGTTTCTGAGGATGCTGCTGTCTACTTTTTATACGTAATCCCGTTTCCAATGAAATCCTCCAAGCTATCCAAATATCCACTTGCAGATTCCACAGAAAGACTGTTTCAAAACTGCTCTGTCAATAGAAAGGTTCAACTCTGTTAGCTGCGTGCATATATCCCAAAGAAGATTCTGAGATTGCTTCTGTCTAGTTTTTATGGGAAGATATTTCCCTTTTCACCGTAGGTGTCAAGGCGCTCCAGATGTCCACTTCCAGATACTACAAAAAGAGTGTTTCAAACCTACTCTGTGAAAGGGAATATTCAACTCTGTGACTTGAATGCACATATCACAAAGAAGTTTCTGAGAATGCTTCTGTCGAGATTTTATATGAAGATATTCCCGTTTCCAACGAAATCCTGAAATGTATCCAAATATCCCCTCACAGATTCTACAAAAAGAGTGTTTCAAAACTGCTCTGTAAAAAGAAAGGTTCAACTCTGTTAGTTGAGTGCACACATCACAAACAAGTTTCACAGAATGCTTCTTTCTAGCTTGTAGGGGAATATATTCCCTTTATCACCCTGGGCCTCAAACCGTCTGAAACGTCCACTTCCATATACTTCAAAAAGAGCGTTTCAAACCTGCTCTATGATAGGCAATGTTCAACTCTGTGACTTGAATGCAGACATCACAGAGCTGTTTCTGAGAATGCCTCTGTCTAGATTTTATAGGAAGAAATTCCCGTTTCCAACGAAATCTTCACAGCTATCCAAATATCCACTTGCAGATTCTACAAAAAGAGTGTATCAAAACTGCTCTGTCAAAAGGAAGGTTCTTCTCTGTTAGGTGAGTGCATACGTCATAAAGGAGTTTCTGAGAATGTTTCTGTCTAGTGGTTATGGGAAGATATTTGCTTTTTCACCGTAGGCCTCACAGCGCTCCAAATATCCACTTGCACATACTACAAAAAGAGTGCTTCAAAGCTGCTCTCTGAAACGGAATGTTCAACTCTATGAGTTGAATGCAAACATCACAAAGAGGTTTCTGAGAATGCTTCTGTCTAGATTTGATATGAAGATATTCCCGTTTCCAACGAAATCTTCAAATCTATCCAAATGTCCACTTGCAGATTCCACAAAAAGTGTTTTTCAGAACTGCTCTATCAAAAGAAAGATCCACCTCTGTTAGATGAGTTCACACATCACAAACAAGTTTATGAGAATGCTTCTGTCTAGTTTTTATTTGAAGATATACCCTTTCTCACTATAGACCTCAAAGCTCTCCTAATGTTCACTTCCAGATACTACAGAAAGAGTGTTTCAAAACTGCTGTACGAAAGGGAATGTTCAACTGTGTGTCTTGAATGCACACATCACAAGGAAGTTTCTGAGGATGCTGCTGTCTACTTTTTATACTGTAATCCCGTTTCCAACGAAATCCTCCAAGCTATCCAAATATCCACTTGCAGATTCCACAGAAAGACTGTTTCAAAACTGCTCTGTCAATAGAAAGGTTCAACTCTGTTAGCTGCGTGCATATATCCCAAAGAAGATTCTGAGATTGCTTCTGTCTAGTTTTTATGAGAAGATATTTCCCTTTTCACCGTAGGCGTCAAAGCGCTCCAAATGTCCACTTCCAGATACTACAAAAAGAGTGTTTCAAACCTACTCTGTGAAAGGGAATATTCAACTCTGTGACTTGAATGCACATATCACAATGAAGTTTCTGAGAATGCTTCTGTCGAGATTTTATATGAAGATATTCCCGTTTCCAACGAAATCCTGAAATCTATCCAAATATCCCCTCGCAGATTCTACAACAAGAGTGTTTCAAAACTGTTCTGTAAAAAGAAAGGTTTAACTCTGTTAGTTGAGTACACACATCACAAACAAGTTTCACAGAATGCTTCTTTCTAGCTTGTAGCGGAAGATATTCCCTTTATCACCATGGGCCTCAAACCGTCTGAAACGTCCACTTCCATATACTACAAAAAGAGCATTTCAAACCTGCTGTATGAAAGGCAATGTTCAACTCTGTGACTTGAATGCAGACATCACAGAGCAGTTTCTGAGAATGCTTCTGTCCAGACTTTATAGGAAGATATTCCCGATTCCAACGAAATCTTTACAGCTATCCAAATATCCACTTGCAGATACTACAAAAAGAGTGTATCAAAAAAGCTCTGTCAAAAGGAAAGTTCTTTTCTGCTAGTTGAGTACATACGTCATAAAGAAGTTTCTGAGAATGTTTCTGTCTAGTGGTTATGGGAAGATATTTGCTTTTTCACCATAGGCCTCAGAGCGCTCAAAATGTCCACTTGCACATGCTACAAAAAGATTGCTTCAAAGCTGCTCTCTGAAAGGGAATGTTCAACCCTATCAGTTGAATGCAAACATCACAAAGACGTTTCTGAGAATGCTTCTGTCTAGATTTGATATGAAGATATTCCCGTTTCCAACGAAATCTTCAAATCTATCCAAATGTCCACTTGCAGATTCAACAAAGTGTTTTTCAAAACTGCTGTATCAAAAGAAAGATCCACCTCTGTTAGCTGAGTTCACACTTCACAAACAAGTTTATCAGAATTCTTCTGTCTGGTTTTTATTTGAAGATATTTCCTTTCTCACCATAGACCTGAAAGCTGTCCTAATGTTCACTCCCAGATAATACAGAAAGAGTGTTTCAAAACTGCTGTACGAAAGGGAATGTTCAACTCTGTGACTTGAATGCACACATCACAAAGAAGTTTCTGAGGATGCTGCTGTCTACTTTTTATACGTAATCCCGTTTCCAACGAAATCCTCCAAGCTATCCAAATATCCACTTGCAGATTCCACAGAAAGACTGTTTCAAAACTGCTCTGTCAATAGAAAGGTTGAACTCTGTTAGCTGCGTGCATATATCCCAAAGATGATTCTGAGATTGCTTCTGTCTAGTTTTTATGGGAAGATATTTCCCTTTTCACCGTAGGCGTCAAGGCGCTCCAAATGTCCACTTCCAGATACTACAAAAGGAGTGTTTCAAACCTACTCTGTGAAAGGGAATATTCAACTCTGTGACTTGAATGCAGATATCACAAAGAAGTTTCTGAGAATGCTTCTGTCGAGATTTTATATGAAGATATTCCCGTTTCCAACGAAATCCTGAAATCTATCCAAATATCCCCTCACAGATTCTACAAAAAGAGTGTTTCAAAACTGCTCTGTAAAAAGAAAGGTTCAACTCTGTTAGTTGAGTACACACATCACAAACAAGTTTCACAGAATGCTTCTTTCTAGCTTGTAGGGGAAGATATTTCCTTTATCACCATGGTACTCAAACCGTCCGAAACGTCCACTTCCATATACTAAAAAAGGAGTGTTTGAAACCTGCTCTATGAAAGGCAATGTTCAACTCTGTGACTTGAATGCAGACATCACAGAGCAGTTTCTGAGAATGCTTCTGTCTAGATTTTATAGGAAGATATTCCCGTTTCCAACGAAATCTTCACAGCTATCCAAATATCCACTTGCAGATTCTACAAAAAGAGTGTATCAAAACTGCTCTGTCAAAAGGAAGGTTCTTCTCTGTTAGGTGAGTGCATACGTCATAAAGGATTTTCTGAGAATGTTTCTGTCTAGTGGTTATGGGAAGATATTTGCTTTTTCACCGTAGGCCTCAGAAGCGCTCCAAATATCCACTTGCACATACTACAAAAAGAGTGCTTCAAAGCTGGTCTCTGAAACGGAATGTTCAACTCTATGAGTTGAATGCAAACATCACAAAGACGTTTCTGAGAATGCTTCTGTCTAGATTTGATATGAAGATATACCCGTTTCCAACGAAATCTTCAAATCTATCCAAATGTCCACTTGCAGATTCAACAAAGTGTTTCTCAAAACTGCTGTATCAAAAGAAAGATCCACGTCTGTTAGCTGAGTTCACACATCACAAAGAAGTTTATGAGAATGCTTCTGTCTAGTTTTTATTTGAAGATATTTCCTTTCTCACCATAGACCTGAAAGCTGTCCTAATGTTCACTTCCAGATACTATAGAAAGAGTGTTTCAAAACTGCTGTACGAAAGGGAATGTTCAACTCTGTGACTTGAATGCACACATCACAAAGAAGTTTCTGAGGATGATGCTGTCTAATTTTTATACGTAATCCCGTTTCCAACGAAATCCTCAAAGCTATCCAAATATCCACTTGCAGATTCCACAGAAAGACTGTTTCAAAACTGCTCTGTCAATAGAAAGGTTCAACTCTGTTAGCTGCGTGCATATATCCCAAAGAAGATTCTGAGATTGCTTCTGTCTAGTTTTTATGGGAAGATATTTCCCTTTTCACCGTAGGCGTCAAGGCGCTCCAAATGTCCACTTCCAGATACTACAAAAAGAGTGTTTCAAACCTACTCTGTGAAAGGGAATATTCAACTCTGTGACTTAAAGGCAGATATCACAAAGAAGTTTCTGAGAATGCTTCTGTCGAGATTTTATATGAAGATATTCCCGTTTCCAACGAAATCCTGAAATCTATCCAAATATCCCCTCGCAGATTCTACAAAAGGAGTGTTTCAAAACTGCTCTGTAAAAAGAAAGGTTCAACTCTGTTAGTTGAGTACACACATCACAAACAAGTTTCACAGAATGCTTCTTTCTAGCTTGTAGGGGAAGATATTCCCTTTATCACCATGGGCCTCAAACCGTCCGAAACGTCCACTTCCATATACTACAAAAAGAGCGTTCCAAACCTGCTCTATGAAAGGCAATGTTCAACTCTGTGACTTGAATGCAGACATCACAGAGCAGTTTCTGAGAATGCTTCTGTCTAGATTTTATAGGAAGATATTCCCGTTTCCAACGAAATCTTCACAGCTATCCAAATATCCACTTGCAGATTCTACAAAAAGAGTGTATCAAAACTGCTCCGTCAAAAGGAAGGTTCTTCTCTGTTAGGTGAGTGCATACGTCATAAAGGAGTTTCTGAGAATGTTTCTGTCTAGTGGTTATGGGAAGATATTTGCTTTTTCACCGTAGGCCTCAGAGCCCTCCAAATATCCACTTGCACATACTACAAAGAGAGTGCTTCAAACCTGCTCTCTGAAACGGAATGTTCAACTCTATGAGTTGAATGCAAACATCACAAAGACGTTTCTGAGAATGCTTCTGTCTAGATTTGATATATAGATATTCCCGTTTCCAACGAAATCTTCAAATCTATCCAAATGTCCACTTGCAGATTCAACAAAAAGTGTTTTTCAGAACTGCTCTATCAAAAGAAAGATCCACCTCTGTTAGCTGAGTTCACACATCACAAACAAGTTTATGAGAATGCTTCTGTCTAGTTTTTATTTGAAGATATTTCCTTTCTCACCATAGACCTGAAAGCTGTCCTAATGTTCACTTCCAGATACTACAGAAAGAGTGTTTCAAAACTGCTGTACGAAAGGGAATGTTCAACACTGTGACTTGAATGCACACATCACAAAGAAGTTTCTGAGGATGCTGCTGTCTACTTTTTATACGTAATCCCGTTTCCAACGAAATCCTCCAAGCTATCCAAATATCCACGTGCAGATTCCACAGAAAGACTGTTTCAAAACTGCTCTGTCAATAGAAAGGTTCAACTCTGTTAGCTGCGTGCATATATCCCAAAGAAGATTCTGAGATTCCTTCTGTCTAGTTTTTATGGGAAGATATTTCCCTTTTCACCGTAGGTGTCAAGGCGCTCCAAATGTCCACTTCCAGATACTACAAAAAGAGTGTTTCAAACCTACTCTGTGAAAGGGAATATTCAACTCTGTGACTTAAAGGCAGATATCACAAAGAAGTTTCTGAGAATGCTTCTGTCGAGATTTTATATGAAGATATTCCCCTTTCCAACGAAATCCTGAAATCTATCCAAATATCCCCTCGCAGATTCTACAAAAAGAGTGTTTCAAAACTGCTCTGTGAAAAGAAAGGTTCAACTCTGTTAGTTGAGTACACACATCACAAACAAGTTTCACAGAATGCTTCTTTCTAGCTTGTAGGGGAAGATATTCCCTTTATCACCATGGTCCTCAAACCGTCCGAAACGTCCACTTTCATATACTACAAAAAGAGCGTTTCAAACCTGCTCTAGGAAAGGCAATGTTCAACTCTGTGACTTGAATGCAGACATCACAGAGCAGTTTCTGAGAATGCTTCTGTCTAGATTTTATAGGAAGATATTCCCGTTTCCAACGAAATCTTCACAGCTATCCAAATATCCACTTGCAAATTCTACAAAAAGAGTGTATCAAAACTGCTCTGTCAAAAGGAAGGTTCTTCTCTGTTAGGTGAGTGCACACGTCATACAGGAGTTTCTGAGAATGTTTCTGTCTAGTGGTTATGGGAAGATATTTGCTTTTTCCCCGTATGCCTCAGGGCGCTCCAAATGTCCACTTGCAAATGCTACAAAAAGAGTGCTTCAAAGCTGCTCTCTGAAAGGGAATGTTCAACTCTATGAGTTGAATGCAAACATCACAAAGACGTTTCTGAGAATGCTTCTGTCTAGATTTGATATGACGATATTCCCGTTTCCAACGAAATCTTCAAATCTATCCAAATGTCCACTTGCAGATTCAACAAAACGTGTTTTTCAGAACTGCTCTATCAAAAGAAAGATCCACCTCTGTTAGCTGAGTTCACACATCACAAACAAGTTTATGAGAATGCTTCTGTCTAGTTTTTATTTGAAGATATTTCCTTTCTCACCATAGAGCTGAAAGCTGTTCTAATGTTCACTTCCAGATACTACAGAAAGAGTGTTTCAAAACTGCTGTACGAAAGGGAATGTTCAACTCTGTGACTTGAATGCACACATCACAAAGAAGTTTCTGAGGATGCTGCTGTCTACTTTTTATACGTAATCCTGTTTCCAACGAAATCCTCCAAGCTATCCAAATATCCACTTGCAGATTCCCCAGAAAGACTGTTTCAAAACTGCTCTGTCAATAGAAAGGTTCAACTCTGTTAGCTGCGTGCATATATCCCAAAGAAGATTCTGAGATTGCTTCTGTCTAGTTTTTATGGGAAGATATTTCCCTTTTCACCGTAGGTGTCGAGGCGCTCCAAATGTCCACTTCCAGATACTACAAAAAGAGTGTTTCAAACCTACTCTGTGAAAGGGAATATTCAACTCTGTGACTTGAAGGCAGATATCACAAAGAAGTTTCTGAGAATGCTTCTGTCGAGATTTTATATGAAGATATTCCCGTTTCCAACGAAATCCTGAAGTCTCTCCAAATATCCCCTCGCAGATTCTACAAAAAGAGTGTTTCAAAACTGCTCTGTAAAAAGAAAGGTTCAACTCTGTTAGTTGAGTACACACATCACAAACAAGTTTCACAGAATGCTTCTTTCTAGCTTGTAGGGGAAGATATTCCCTTTATCACCATGGGCCTCAAACCGTCCGAAAAGTCCACTTCCATATACTACAAAAAGAGCGTTTCAAACCTGCTCTAGGAAAGGCAATGTTCAACTCTGTGACTTGAATGCAGACATCACAGAGCAGTTTCTGAGAATGCTTCTGTCTAGATTTTATAGGAAGATATTCCCGTTTCCAACGAAATCTTCACAGCTATCCAAATATCCACTTGCAGATTCTACAAAAAGAGTGTATCAAAACTGCTCTGTCAATAGGAACGTTCTTCTCTGTTAGTTGAGTACAAACGTCATAAAGGAGTTTCTGAGAATGTTTCAGTCTAGTGGTTATGGTTAGACATTTTCTTTAACCCCGTAGGCCTCAGAGCGCTCCAAATATCCACTTGCACATACTACAAAAAGAGTGCTTCAAAGCTGTTCTCTGAAACGGAATGTTCAACTCTATGAGTTGAATGCAAACATCACAAAGACGTTTCTGAGAATGCTTCTGTCTAGATTTCATATGAAGATATTCCTCTTTCCAACGAAATCTTCAAATCTATTCAAATGTCCACTTGCAGATTCAACAAAAAGTGTTTTTCGAAACTGCTGTTTCGAAAGAAAGATCCACCTCTGTTAGCTGAGTTCACACTTCACAAACAAGTTTATCAGAATGCTTCCGTCTAGTTTTTATTTGAAGATATATCCTTTCTCACTATAGACCTGAAAGCTGTCCTAAAGTTCACTTCCAGATACTACAGAAAGAGTGTTTCAAAACTGCTGTACGAAAGGGAATGTTCAACTCTGTGACTTGAATGCACACATCACAAAGAAGTTTCTGAGGATGCTGCTGTCTACTTTTTATACGTAATCCCATTTCCAAAGAAATCCTCCAAGCTATCCAAATATCCACTTGCAGATTCCACAGAAAGACTGTTTCAAAACTGCTCTGTCAATAGAAAGGTTCAACTGCTGTTAGTTGCGTGCATATATCCCAAAGAAGATTCTGAGATTGCTTCTGTCTAGTTTTTATGGGAAGATATTTCCCTTTTCACCGTAGGTGTCAAGGCGTTCAAAATGTCCACTTCCAGATACTACAAAAAGAGTGTTTCAAACCTACTCTGTGAAAGGGAATATTCAACTCTGTGACTTGAATGCACATATCACAAAGAAGTTTCTGAGAATGCTTCTGTCGAGATTTTATATGAAGATATTCCCGTTTCCAACGAAATCCTGAAATGTATCCAAATATCCCCTCGCAGATTCTACAAAAAGAGTGTTTCAAAACTGCTCTGTAAAAAGAAACGTTCAACTCTGTTAGTTGAGTACACACATCACAAACAAGTTTCACAGAATGCTTCTTTCTAGCTTGTAGGGTAACATATTCCCTTTATCACCATGGGCCTCAAACCGTCCGAAACGTCTACTACCATATACTACAAAAAGAGAGTTTCAAACCTGCTCTATGAAAGGCAATGTTCAACTCTGTGACTTGAATGCAGACATCACAGAGCAGTTTCTGAGAATGCTTCTGTCTAGATTTTATAGGAAGATATTCCCGTTTCCAACGAAATCTTCACAGCTATCCAAATATCCACTTGCAGATTCTACAAAAAGAGTGTATCAAAACTGCTCTGTCAAAAGGAAGGTTCTTCTCTGTTAGGTGAGTGCATACGTCATAAAGGAGTTTCTGAGCAATGTTTCTGTCTAGTGGTTATGGGAAGATATTTGCTTTTTCACCTTAGGCCTCAGAGCGCTCCAAATATCCCCTTGCACATACTACAAAAAGAGTGCTTCAAAGCTGTTCTCTGAAAGGGAATGTTCAACTCTATGAGTTGAATGCAAACATCACAAAGACGTTTCCGAGAATCCTTTCTGTCTAGATTTGATATGAAGATATTCCCGTTTCCAACGAAACCTTCAAAACTATCCAAATGTCCACTTGCAGATTCAACAAAAAGTGTTTTTCAGAACTGCTCTATCAAAAGAAAGATCCACCGCTGTTTGCTGAGTTCACACATCACAAACAAGTTTATGAGAATGCTTCTGTCTAGTTTTTATTTGAAGATATTCCCTTTCTCACCATAGACCTGAAAGCTATCCTAATGTTCACTTCCAGATACTACAGAAAGAGTGTTTCAAAACTGCTGTACGAAAGGGAATGTTCAACTCTGTGACTTGAATGCACACATCACAAAGAAGTTTCTGAGGATGCTGCTGTCTACTTTTTATACGTAATCCCGTTTCCAACGAAATCCTCCAAGCTATCCAAATATCCACTTGCAGATTCCACAGAAAGACTGTTTCAAATCTGCTCAGTCAATAGAAAGGTTCAACTCTGTTAGCTGCGTGCATATATCACAAAGAAGATTCTGAGATTGCTTCTGTCTAGTTTTTATGGGAAGATATTTCCCTTTTCACCGTAGGCGTCAAGGCGCTCCAAATGTCCACTTCCAGATACTACAAAAAGAGTGTTTCAAACCTACTCTGTGAAAGGGAATATTCAACTCTGTGACTCGAATGCACATATCACAAAGAAGTTTCTGAGAATGCTTCTGTCGAGATTTTATATGAAGATATTCCCGTTTCCAACGAAATCCTGAAATGTATCCAAATATCCCCTCGCAGATTCTAAAAAAAGAGTGTTTCAAAACTGCTCTGTAAAAAGAAAGGTTCAACTCTGTTAGTTGAGTACACACATCACAAACAAGTTTCACACAATGCTTCTTTCTAGCTTGTAGGGGAAGATATTCCCTTTATCACCATGGGCCTCAAACCGTCCGAAACGTTTACTTCCATATACTACAAAAAGAGCGTTTCAAACCTGCTCTAGGAAAGGCAATGTTCAACTCTGTGACTTGAATGCAGACATCACAGAGCAGTTTCTGAGAATGCTTCTGTCTAGATTTTATAGGAAGATATTCCCGTTTCCAACGAAATCTTCACAGCTATCCAAATATCCACTTGCAGATTCTACAAAAAGAGTGTATCAAAACTGCTCTGTCAAAAGGAAGGTTCTTCTCTGTTAGGTGAGTGCATACGTCATAAAGGAGTTTCTGAGAATCTTTCTGTCTAGTGGTTATGGGAAGATATTTGCTTTTTCACCGTAGGCCTCAGAGCGCTCCAAATATCCACTTGCACATACTACAAAAAGAGTGCTTCAAAGCTGCTCTCTGAAACGGAATGTTCAACTCTATGAGTTGAATGCAAACATCACAAAGACGTTTCCGAGAATGCTTCTGTCTAGATTTGATATGAAGATATTCCCGTTCCCAACGAAATCTTCAAATCTATCCAAATGTCCACTTGCAGATTCAACAAAAAGTTTTTTTCAGAACTGCTCTATCAAAAGAAAGATCCACCTCGGTTAGCTGAGTTCACACATCACAAAGAAGTTTATGAGAATGCTTTCTGTCTAGTTTTTATTTGAAGATATTTCCTTTCTCAACATAGACCTGAAAGCTCTCCTAATGTTCACTTCCAGATACTACAGAAAGAGTGTTTCAAAACTGCTGTACGAAAGGGAATGTTCAACTCTGTGACTTGAATGCACACATCACAAAGAAGTTTCTGAGGATGCTGCTGTCTACTTTTTATACATAATCCCGTTTCCAACGAAATCCTCCAAGCTATCCAAATATCCACTTGCAGATTCCACAGAAAGACTGTTTCAAAACTGCTCTGTCAATAGAAAGGTTCAACTCTGTTAGCTGCGTGCATATATCACAAAGAAGATTCTGAGATTGCTTCTGTCTAGTTTTTATGGGAAGATATTTCCCTTTTCACGCGGTAGGAGTCAAGGCGCTCCAAATGTCCACTTCCAGATACTACAAAAAGAGTGTTTCAAACCTACTCTGTGAACGGGAATATTCAACTCTGTGACTTGAATGCACATATCACAAAGAAGTTTCTGAGAATGCTTCTGTCGAGATTTTGTATGAAGATATTCCCGTTTCCAACGAAATCCTGAAATCTATCCAAATTTCCCTTCGCAGATTCTACAAAAAGAGTGTTTCAAAACTGCTCTGTAAAAAGAAAGGTTCAACTCTGTTAGTTGAGTACACACATCACAAACAAGTTTCACAGAATGCTTCTTTCTAGCTTGTAGGGGAAGATATTCCCTTTATCACCATGGGCCTCCAACCGTCCGAAACATCCACTTCCATATAATACAAAAAGAGCGTTTCAAACCTGCTCTATGAAAGGCAATGTTCAACTCTGTGACTTGAATGCAGACATCACAGAGCAGTTTCTGAGAATGCTTCTGTCCAGACTTTATAGGGAGATATTCCCGTTTCCAACGAAATCTTCACAGCTATCCAAATATCCACTTGCAGATAGTACAAAAAGAGTGTATCAAAAATGCTCTGTCAAAAGGAAAGTTCTTCTCTGCTAGTTGAGTACATACGTCATAAAGAAGTTTCTGAGAATGTTTCTGTCTAGTGGTTATGGGAAGATATTTGCTTTTTCACCGTAGGCCTCAGAGCGCTCCAAATATCCACTTGCACATACTACAAAAAGAGTGCTTCAAAGCTGGTCTCTGAAACGGAATGTTCAACTCTATGAGTTGAATGCAAACATCACAAAGACATTTCTGAGAATGCTTCTGTCTAGATTTGATATGAAGATATTCCCGTTTCCAACGAAGTCTTCAAATCTATCCAAATGTCCACTTGCAGATTCAACCAAAAGTGTTTTTCAGAACTGCTCTATCAAAAGAAAGATCCACCTCTGTTAGCTGAGTTCAGACATCACAAACAAGTTTATGAGAATGCTTCTGTCTAGTTTTTATTTGAAGATATTTCCTTTCTCACCATAGACCTGAAAGCTGTCCTAATGTTCACTTCCAGATACTACAGAAAGAGTGTTTCAAAACTGCTGTACGAAAGGGAATGTTCAACTCTGGGACTTGAATGCACACATCACAAAGAAGTTTCTGAGGATGCTGCTGTCTACTTTTTATACATAATCCCGTTTCCAACGAAATCCTCCAAGCTATCCAAATATCCATTTGCAGATTCCACAGAAAGACTGTTTCAAAACTGCTCTGTCAATAGAAAGGTTCAACTCTGTTAGCTGCGTGCATATATCCCAAAGAAGATTCTGAGATTGCTTCTGTCTAGTTTTTATGGGAAGATATTTCCCTTTTCACCGTAGGCGTCAAGGCGCTCCAAATGTCCACTTCCAGATACTACAAAGAGTGTTTCAAACCTACTCTGTGAAAGGGAATATTCAACTCTGTGACTTGAATGCAGATATCACAAAGAAGTTTCTGAGAATGCTTCTGTCGAGATTTTATATGAAGATATTCCCGTTTCCAACGAAATCCTGAAATCTATCCAAATTTCCCCTCGCAGATTCTACAAAAAGAGTGTTTCAAAACTGCTCTGTAAAAAGAAAGGTTCAACTCTGTTAGTTGAGTACACACATCACAAACAAGTTTCACACAATGCTTCTTTCTAGCTTGTAGGGGAAGATATTCCCTTTATCACCATGGGCCTCAAACAGGCCGAAACGTCCACTTCCATATACTACAAAAAGAGCGTTTCAAACCTGTTCTAGGAAAGGCAATGTTCAACTCTGTGACTTGAATGCAGACATCACAGAGCAGTTTCTGAGAATGCTTCTGTCCAGACTTTATAGGAAGATATTCCCGTTTCCAACGAAATCTTCACAGCTATCCAAATATCCACCTGCAGATACTACAAAAAGAGTGTATCAAAAATGCTCTCTCAAAAGGAAAGTTCTTCTCTGCTAGTTGAGTACATACGTCATAAAGAAGTTTCTGAGAATGTTTCTGTTTAGTGGTTATGGGAAGATATTTGCTTTTTCACCTTAGGCCTCAGAGCGCTCCAAATATCCCCTTGCACATACTACAAAAAGAGTGCTTCAAAGCTGCTCTCTGAAACGGAATGTTCAACTCTATGAGTTGAATGCAAACATCACAAAGACGTTTCCGAGAATGCTTCTGTCTAGATTTGATATGAAGATATTCCCGTTTCCAACGAAATCTTCAAATCTATCCAAATGTCCACTTGCAGATTCAACAAAAAGTGTTTTTCAGAACTGCTCTATCAAAAGAAAGATCCACGTGTGTTAGCTGAGTTCACACATTACGAACAAGTTTATGAGAATGCTTCTGTCTAGTTTTTATTTGAAGATATTTCCTTTCTCACCATAGACCTGAAAGCTGTCCTAATGTTCACTTCCAGATACTACAGAAAGAGTGTTTCAAAACTGCTGTACGAAAGGGAATGTTCAACTCTGTGACTTGAATGCACACATCACAAAGAAGTTTCTGAGTATGCTGCTGTCTACTTTTTATATGTAATACCGTTTCCAACGAAATCCTCCAAGCTATCCAAATATCCACTTGCAGATTCCACAGAAAGACTGTTTCAAAACTGCTCTGTCAATAGAAAGGTTCAACTCTGTTAGCTGCATGCATATATCCCAAAGAAGATTCTGAGATTGCTTCTGTCTAGTTTTTATGGGAAGATATTTCCCTTTTCACCGTGGCGTCAAGGCGCTCCAAATGACCACTTCCAGATACTACAAAAAGAGTGTTTCAAACCTACTCTGTGAAAGGGAATATTCAACTCTGTGACTTGAATGCACATATCACAAGGAAGTTTCTGAGAATGCTTCTGTCGAGATTTTATGTGAAGATACTCCCGTTGCCAACGAAATCCTGAAATCTATCCAAATATCCCCTCGCAGATTCTACAAAAAGAGTGTTTCAAAACTGCTCTGTAAAAAGAAAGGTTCAACTCTGTTAGTTGAGTACACACATCACAAACAAGTTTCACAGAATGCTTCTTTCTAGCTTTTAGGGGAAGATATTCCCTTTATCACCATGGGCCTCAAACCGTCTGAAACGTCCACTTCCATATACTACAAAAAGAGCATTTCAAACCTGCTCTATGAAAGGCAATGTTCAACTCTGTGACTTGAATGCAGACATCACAGAGCAGTTTCTGAGAATGCTTCTGTCTAGATTTTATAGGAAGATATTCCCGTTTCCAACGAAATCTTCACAGGTATCCAAATATCCACTTGCAGATTCTACAAAAAGAGTGTATCAAAACTGCTCTGTCAAAAGGAAGGTTCTTCTCTGTTAGGTGAGTGCATACCGTCATAAAGGAGTTTCTGAGAATGTTTCTGTCTAGTGGTTATGGGAAGATATTTGCTTTTTCACCGTAGGCCTCAGAGCGCTCCAAATATCCACTTGCATATACTACAAAAAGAGTGCTTCAAAGCTGCTCTCTGAAACGGAATGTTCAACTCTATGAGTTGAATGCAAACATCACAAAGACGTTTCTGAGAATGCTTCTGTCTAGATTTGATATGAAGATATTCCCGTTTCCAACGAAATCTTCAAATCTATCCAAATGTCCACTTGCAGATTCAAAAAAAAGTGTTTTTCAGAACTGCTCTATCAAAAGAAAGATCCACGTGTGTTAGCTGAGTTCACACATTACGAACAAGTTTATGAGAATGCTTCTGTCTAGTTTTTATTTGAAGATATTTCCTTTCTCACCATAAACCTGAAAGCTGTCCTAATGTTCACTTCCAGATACTACAGAAAGAGTGTTTCAAAACTGCTGTACGGAAGGGAATGTTCAACTCTGTGACTTGAATGCACACATCACAAAGAAGTTCCTGAGGATGCTGCTGTCTACTTTTTATACGTAATCCCGTTTCCAACGAAATCCTCCAAGCTATCCAAATATCCACTTGCAGATTCCACAGAAAGATTGTTTCAAAACTGCTCTGTCAATAGAAAGGTTCAACTCTGTTAGCTGCGTGCATATATCCCAAAGAAGATTCTGAGATTGCTTCTGTCTAGTTTTTATGGGAAGATATTTCCCTTTTCACCGTAGGCGTCAAAGCGCTCCAAATGCCCACTTCCAGATACTACAAAAAGAGTGTTTCAAACCTACTCTGTGAAAGGGAATATTCAACTCTGTGACTTGAATGCAGATATCACAAAGAAGTTTCTGAGAATGCTTCTGTCGAGATTTTATATGAAGATATTCCCGTTTCCAACGAAATCCTGAAATCTATCCAAATATCCCCTTGCAGATTCTACAAAAAGAGTGTTTCAAAACTGCTCTGTAAAAAGAAAGGTTCAACTCTGTTAGTTGAGTACACACATCACAAACAAGTTTCACACAATGCTTCTTTCTAGCTTGTAGGGGAAGATATTTCCTTTATCACCATGGTCCTCAAACCGTCCGAAACGTCCACTTCCATATACTAAAAAAAGAGTGTTTGAAACCTGCTCTATGAAAGGCAATGTTCAACTCTGTGACTTGAATGCAGACATCACAGAGCAGTTTCTGAGAATGCTTCTGTCCAGACTTTATAGGAAGATATTCCCGTTTCAAACGAAATCTTCACAGCTATCCAAATATCCACTTGCAGATACTACAAAAAGAGTGTATCAAAAGTGCTCTGTCAAAAGGAAAGTTCTTCTCTGCTAGTTGAGTACATACGTCATAAAGAAGTTTCTGAGAATGTTTCTGTCTAGTGGTTATGGGAAGATATTTGCTTTTTCACCTTAGGCCTCAGAGCGCTCCAAATATCCACTTGCACATACTACAAAAAGAGTGCTTCAAAGCTGCTCTCTGAACCGCAATGTTCAATTCTATGAGTTGAATGCAAACATCACAAAGACGTTTCTGAGAATGCTTCTGTCTAGATTTGATATGAAGATATTCCCGTTTCCAACGAAATCTTGAAATCTATCCAAATGTCCACTTGCAGATTCAACAAAGTGTTTTTCAGAACTGCTCTATCAAAAGAAAGATCCACGTGTGTTAGCTGAGTTCACACATCACAAACAAGTTGATGAGAATGCTTCTGTCTAGTTTTTATTTGAAGATATTTCCTTTCTCACCATAGAACTGAAAGCTGTCCTAATGTTCACTTCCAGATACTACAGAAAGAGTGTTTCAAAACTGCTGTACGAAAGGGAATGTTCAACTCTGTGACTTGAATGCACACATCACAAAGAAGTTTCTGAGGATGCTGCTGTCTACTTTTTATACGTAATCCCGTTTCCAACGAAATCCTCCAAGCTATCCAAATATCCACTTGCAGATTGCACAGAAAGACTGTTTCAAAACTGCTCTGTCAATAGAAAGGTTCAACTCTGTTAGCTGCGTGCATATATCCCAAAGAAGATTCTGAGATTGCTTCTGTCTAGTTTTTATGGGAAGATATTTCCCTTTTCACCGTAGGTGTCAAGGCGCTCCAAATGTCCACTTCCAGATACTACAAAAAGAGTGTTTCAAACCTACTCTGGGAAAGGGAATATTCAACTCTGTGACTTGAATGCACATATCACAAAGAAGTTTCTGAGAATGCTTCTGTCGAGATTTTATATGAAGATATTCCCGTTTCCAACGAAATGCTGAAATGTATCCAAATATCCCCTCGCAGATTCTACAAAAAGAGTGTTTCAAAACTGCTCTGTAAAAAGAAAGGTTCAACTCCTGTTAGTTGAGTACACACATCACAAACAAGTTTCACAGAATGCTTTCTTTCTAGCTTGTAGGGGAAGATATTCCCTTTGTCACCATGGGCCTCCAACCGTCCGAAACATCCACTTCCATATACTACAAAAAGAGCGTTTCAAACCTGCTCTATGAAAGGCAATGTTGAACTCTGTGACTTGAATGCAGACATCACAGAGCAGTTTCTGAGAATGCTTCTGTCCAGAGTTTATAGGAAGATATTCCCGTTTCCAACGAAATCTTCACAGCTATCCAAATATCCACTTGCAGATACTAAAAAAGAGTGTATCAAAAGTGCTCTGTCAAAAGGAAAGTTCTTCTCTGCTAGTTGAGTAAATTCGTCATAAAGAAATTTCTGAGAATGTTTCTGTCTAGTGGTTATGGGAAGATATTTGCTTTTTCACCTTAGGCCTCAGAGCGCTCCAAATATCCCCTTGCACATACTACAAAAAGAGTGCTTCAAAGCTCCTCTCTGAAAGGGAATGTTCAACTCTATGAGTTGAATGCAAACATCACAAAGACGTTTCTGAGAATGCTTCTGTCTAGATTTGATATGAAGATATTCCCGTTTCCAACGAAATCTTCAAATCTATCCAAATATCCACTTGCAGATTCAACAAAAAGTGTTTTTCAGAACTGCTCTATCAAAAGAAAGATCCACCTCTGTTAGCTGAGTTCACACATCACAAACAAGTTTATGAGAATGCTTTTGTCTAGTTTTTATTTGAAGATATTTTCTTTCTCACCATAGACCTGAAAGCTGTCCTAATGTTCACTTCCAGATACTACAGAAAGAGTGTTTCAAAACTGCTGTACAAAAGGGAATGTTCAACTCTGTGACTTGAATGCACACATCACAAAGAAGTTTCTGAGGATGCTGCTGTCTACTTTTTATACTTAATCCCGTTTCCAACGAAATCCTCCAAGCTATCCAAATATCCACTTGCAGATTCCACAGAAAGACTGTTTCAAAACTGCTCTGTCAATAGAAAGGTTCAACTCTGTTAGCTGCGTGCATATATCCCAAAGAAGATTCTGAGATTGCTTCTGTCTAGTTTTTATGGGAAGATATTTCCCTTTTCACCGTGGGCGTCAAGGCGCTCCAAATGTCCACTTCCAGATACTACAAAAAGAGTGTTTCAAACCTACTCTGTGAAAGGGAATATTCAACTCTGTGACTTGAATGCACATATCACAAGGAAGTTTCTGAGAATGCTTCTGTCGAGCATTTTCTATGAAGATATTCCCGTTTCCAACGAAATCCTGAAATCTATCCAAATATCCCCTCGCAGATTCTACAAAAAGAGTGTTTCAAAACTGCTCTGTAAAAAGAAAGGTTCAACTCTGTTAGTTGAGTACACACATCACAAACAAGTTTCACAGAATGCTTCTTTCTAGCTTATAGGGGAAGATATTCCCTTTATCACCATGGGCCTCAAACCGTCCGAAACGTCCACTTCCATATACTACAAAAAGAGCGTTTCAAACCTGCTCTAGGAAAGGCAATGTTCAACTCTGTGACTTGAATGCAGACATCACAGAGCAGTTTCTGAGAATGCTTCTGTCTAGATTTTATAGGAAGATATTCCCGTTTCCAACGAAATCTTCACAGCTATCCCAATATCCACTTGCAGATTCTACAAAAAGAGTGTATCAAAACTGCTCTGTCAAAAGGAAGGTTCTTCTCTGTTAGGTGAGTGCATACGTCATAAAGGAGTTTCTGAGAATGTTTCTGTCTAGTGGTTATGGGAAGATATTTGCTTTTTCACCTTAGGCCTCAGAGCGCTCCATATATCCCCTTGCACATACTACAAAAAGAGTGCTTCAAAGCTGCTCTCTGAAAGGGAATGTTCAACTCTATGAGTTGAATGCAAACATCAGAAAGACGTTTCTGAGAATGCTTCTGTCTAGATTTGATATGAAGATATTCCCGTTTCCAACGAAATCTTCAAATCTATCCAAATGTCCACTTGCAGATTCAACAAAAAGTGTTTTTCCGAACTGCTCTATCAACAGAAAGATCCGCCTCTGTTAGCTGAGTTCCCACATCACAAACAAGTTTATGAGAATGCTTCTGTCTAGTTTTTACTTGAAGATATTTCCTTTCTCACCATAGACCTGAAAGCTGTCCTAATGTTCACTTCCAGATACTACAGAAAGAGTGTTTCAAAACTGCTGTACGAAAGGGAATGTTCAACTCTGTGACTTGAATGCACACATCACAAAGAAGTTTCTGAGGATGCTGCTGTCTACTTTTTATACGTAATCCCGTTTCCAACGAAATCCTCCAAGCTATCGAAATATCCACTTGCAGATTCCACAGAAAGAGTGTTTCAAAACTGCTCTGTCAATAGAAAGGTTCAACTCTGTTAGCTGCGTGCATATATCCCAAAGAAGATTCTGAGATTGCTTCTGTCTAGTTTTTATGGGAAGATATTTCCCTTTTCACCGTAGGTGTCAAGGCGCTCCAAATGTCCACTTCCAGATACTACAAAAAGGGTGTTTCAAACCTACTCTGTGAAAGGGAATATTCAACTCTGTGACTTGAATGCACATATCACAAAGAAGTTTCTGAGAATGCTTCTGTCGAGATTTTATATGAAGATATTCCCGTTTCCAATGAAATCCTGAAATCTATCCAATTATCCCCTCGCAGATTCTACAAAAAGAGTGTTTCAAAACTGCTCTGTAAAAAGAAAGGTTCAACTCTGTTAGTTGAGTACACACATCACAAACAAGTTTCACAGAATGCTTCTTTCTAGCTTGTAGGGGAAGATACTCCCTTTATCACCATGGGCCTCCAACCGTCCGAAACATCCACTTCCATATACTACAAAAAGAGCGTTTCAAACCTGCTCTATGAAAGGCAATGTTCAACTCTGTGACTTGAATGCAGACATCACAGAGCAGTTTCTGAGAATGCTTCTGTCTAGATTTTATAGGAAGATATTCCCGTTTCCAACGAAATCTTCACAGCTATCCAAATATCCACTTGCAGATTCTACAAAAAGAGTGTATCAAAACTGCTCTGTCAAAAGAAAGGTTCTTTTCTGTTAGGTGAGTGCATACGTCATAAAGGCGTTTCTGAGAATGTTTCTGTCTAGTGGTTATGGGAAGATATTTGCTTTTTCACCTTAGGCCTCACAGCGATCCAAATATCCACTTGCACATACTACAAAAAGAGTGCTTCAAAGCTGCTGCTCTGAAACGGAATGTTCAACTCTATGAGTTGAATGCAAACATCACAAAGACGTTTGCTGAGAATGCTTCTGTCTAGATTTGATATGAAGATATTCCCGTTTCCAACGAAATCTTCATATCTATCCAAATGTCCACTTGCAGATTCAACAAAAAGTGTTTTTCAAAACTGCTGTATCAAAAGAAAGATCCACGTCTGTTAGCTGAGTTCACACATCAGAAACAAGTTTATGAGAATGCTTCTGTCTAGTTTTTATTTGAAGATATTTCCTTTCTCACCATAGACCTGAAAGCTGTTCTAATGTTCACTTCCAGATGCTACAGAAAGAGTGTTTCAAAACTGCTGTACGAAAGGGAATATTCAACTCTGTGACTTGAATGCACACATCACAAAGAAGTTTCTGAGGATGCTGCTGTCTACTTTTTATACGTAATCCCGTTTCCAACGAAATCCTCCAAGCTATCCAAATATCCACATGCAGATTCCACAGAAAGACTGTTTCAAAACTGCTCTGTCAATAGAAAGGTTCAACTCTGTTAGCTGCGTGCATATATCCCAAAGAAGATTCTGAGATTGCTTCTGTCTACTTTTTATGAGAAGATATTTCCCTTTTCACCGTAGGCGTCAAGGCGCTCCAAATGTCCACTTCCAGACTACTACAAAAAGGGTTTTTCAAACCTAGTCTGTGAAAGGGAATATTCAACTCTGTGACTTGAATGCACATATCACAAAGAAGTTTCTGAGAATGCTTCTGTCGAGATTTTATATGAAGATATTCCCGTTTCCAACGAAATCCTGAAATCTATCCAAATATCCCCTCGCAGATTCTACAAAAAGGGTGTTTCAAAACTGCTCTGTAAAAAGAAAGGTTCAACTCTGTTAGTTGAGTACACACATCACAAACAAGTTTCACAGAATGCTTCTTTCTAGCTTGTAGGGGAAGATATTCCCTTTATCACCATGGGCCTCCAAGCGTCCGAAACATCCACTTCCATATACTACAAAAAGAGCGTTTCAAACCTGCTCTATGAAAGGCAATGTTCAACTCTGTGACTTGAATGCAGACATCACAGAGCAGTTTCTGAGAATGCTTCTGTCTAGGTTTTATAGGAAGATATTCCCTTTTCCAACGAAATCTTCCAAGCTATCCAAATATCCACTTGCAGATTCTACAAAAAGAGTGTATCAAAACTGCTCTGTCAAAAGGAAGGTTCTCCTCTGTTAGTTGAGTACATACGTCATAAAGGAGTTTCTGAGAATGTTTCTGTCTAGTGGTTATGGGAAGATATTTGCTTTTTCACCTTAGGCCTCAGAGCGCTCCATATATCCCCTTGCACATACTACAAAAAGAGTGCTTCAAATCTGCTCTCTGAAAGGGAATGTTCAACTCTATGAGTTGAATGCAAACATCACAAAGACGTTTCTGAGAATGCTTCTTTCTAGATTTGATATGACGATATTCCCGTTTCCAACGAAATCTTCAAATCTATCCAAATGTCCACTTGCAGATTCAACAAAACGTGTTTTTCAGAACTGCTCTATCAAAAGAAAGATCCACCTCTGTTAGCTGAGTTCACACATCACAAACAAGTTTTTGAGAATGCTTCTGTCTAGTTTTTATTTGAAGATATTTCCTTTCTCACCATAGACCTGAAAGCTGTCCTAATGTTCACTTCCAGATACTACAGAAAGAGTGTTTCAAAACTGCTGTACGAAAGGGAATGTTCAACTCTGTGACTTGAATGCACACATCACAAAGAAGTTTCTGAGCATGCTGCTGTCTACTTTTGATACGTAATCCCGTTTCCAACGAAATCCTCCAATCTATCCAAATATCCACTTGCAGATTCCACAGAAAGACTGTTTCAAAACTGCTCTGTCAATAGAAAGGTTCAACTCTGTTAGCTGCGTGCATATATCCCAAAGAAGATTCTGAGATTGCTTCTGTCTAGTTTTTATGGGAAGATATTTCCCTTTTCACCGTAGGCGTCAAGGCGCTCCAAATGTCCACTTCCAGATACTACAAAAAGAGTGTTTCAAACCTACTCTGTGAAAGGGAATATTCACCTCTGTGACTTGAATGCAGATATCACAAAGAAGTTTCTGAGAATGCTTCTGTCGAGATTTTAAATGAAGATATTCCCGTTTCCAACGAAATCCTGAAATCTATCCAAATATCCCCTCGCAGATTCTACAAAAAGTGTGTTTCAAAACTGCTCTGTAAAAAGAAAGGTTCAACTCTCTTAGTTGAGTACACACATCACAAACAAGTTTCACAGAATGCTTCTTTCTAGCTTGTAGGGGAAGATATTCCCTTTAACACCATGGGCCGCAAACCGTCTGAAACGTCCACTTCCATATACTACAAAAAGAGCGTTTCAAACCTGCTCTATGAAAGGCAATGTTCAACTCTGTGACTTGAATGCAGACATCACAGAGCAGTTTCTGAGAATGCTTCTGTCTAGATTTTATGGGAAGATATTCCCGTTTCCGACGAAATCTTCACAGCTATCCAAATATCCACTTGCAGATTCTACAAAAAGAGTGTATCAAAACTGCTCTGTCAAAAGGAAGGTTCTTCTCTGTTAGGTGAGTGCATACGTCATAAAGGAGTTTCTGAGAATGTTTCTGTCTAGTGGTTATGGGAAGATATTTGCTTTTTCACCGTAGGCCTCACAGCGCTCCAAATATCCACTTGCACATACTACAAAAAGAGTGCTTCAAAGCTGCTCTCTGAAACGGAATGTTCAACTCTATGAGTTGAATGCAAACATCACAAAGACGTTTCTGAGAATGCTTCTGTCTAGATTTGATATGAAGTTATTCCCGTTTCCAACGAAATCTTCAAATCTATCCAAATGTCCACTTGCAGATTCAACAAAAAGTGTTTTTCAGAACTGCTCTATCAAAAGAAAGATCCACCTCTGTTAGCTGAGTTCACACATCACAAACAAGTTTATGAGAATGCTTCTGTCTAGTTTTTATTTGAAGATATTTCCTTTCTCACCATAGACCTGAAAGCTGTCCTAATGTTCACTTCCAGTTACTACAGAAAGAGTATTTCAAAACTGCTGTACGAAAGGGAATGTTCAACTTCTGTGACTTGAATGCACACATCACAAAGAAGTTTCCTGAGGATGCTGCTGTCTACTTTTTATACGTAATCCCGTTTCCAACGAAATCCTCCAAGCTATCCAAATATCCACTTGCAGATTCCACAGAAAGACTGTTTCAAAACTGCTCTGTCAATAGAAAGTTTCAACTCTGTTAACTGCGTGCATATATCCCAAAGAAGATTCTGAGATTGCTTCTGTCTAGTTTTTATGGGAAGATATTTCCCTTTTCACCGTAGACGTCAAGGCGCTCCAAATGTCCACTTCCAGATACTACAAAAAGAGTGTTTCAAACCTACTCTGTGAAAGGGAATATTCAACTCTGTGACTTGAATGCAGATATCACAAAGAAGTTTCTGAGAATGCTTCTGTCGAGATTTTATATGAAGATATTCCCGTTTCCAACGAAATGCTGAAATCTATCCAAATATCCCCTCGCAGATTCTACAAAAAGAGTGTTTCAAAACTGCTCTGTGAAAAGAAAGGTTCAACTCTGTTAGTTGAGTACACACATCACAAACAAGTTTCACACAATGCTTCTTTCTAGCTTGTAGGAGAAGATATTCCCTTTATCACCATGGGCCTCAAACCGTCCGAAACGTCCACTTCCATATACTACAAAAAGAGTGTTTCAAACCTGCTCTATGAAAGGCAATGTTCAACTCTGTAACTTGAATGCAGACATCACAGAGCACTTTCTGAGAATGCTTCTGTCTAGATTTTATAGGAAGATATTCCCGTTTCCAACGAAATCTTCACAGCTATCCAAATATCCACTTTCAGATTCTACAAAAAGTATGTATCAAAACTGCTCTGTCCAAAGGAAGGTTCTTCTCTGTTAGGTGAGTGCATACGTCATAAAGGAGTTTCTGAGAATGTTTCTTTCTGGTGGTTATGGGAAGATATTTGCTTTTTCACCGAAGGCCTCAGAGCGCTCCAGATATCCACTTGCACATACTACAAAATGAGTGCCTCAAAGCTGCTCTCTGAAACGGAATGTTCAACTCTATGAGTTGAATGCAAACATCACAAAGACGTTTCCGAGAATGCTTCTGTCTAGTATTTGATATGAAGATATCCCCGTTTCCAACGAAATCTTCAAATCTATCCAAATGTCCACTTGCAGATTCAACAAAAAGTGTTTTTCAGAACTGCTCTATCAAAAGAAAGATCCACCTCTGTTAGCTGAGTTCACACATCACAAACAAGTTTATGAAAATGCTTCTGTCTAGTTTTTATTTGAAGATATTTCCTTTCTCACCATAGACCTGAAAGCTATCCCAATGTTCACTTCCAGATACTACAGAATGAGTGTTTCAAAACTGCTGTACGAAAGGTGATGTTCAACTCTGTGACTTGAATGCACACATCACAAAGAAGTTTCTGAGGATGCTGCTGTCTACTTTTTATACGTGATCCTGTTTCCAACGAAATCCTCCAAGCTATCCAAATATCCACTTGCAGATTCCACAGAAAGACTGTTTCAAAACTGCTCGGTCAATAGAAAGGTTCAACTCTCTTAGCTGGGTGCATGTATCCCAAAGAGGATTCTGAGATTGCTTCTGTCTACTTTTCATGAGAAGATATTTCCCTTTTCACCGTAGGCGTCAAGGTGCTCCAAATGTCCACTTCCAGATACTACAAAAAGAATGTTTCAAACCTACTCTGTGAAAGGGAATATTCAACTCTGTGACTTGAATGCACATATCACAAAGAAGCTTCTGAGAATGCTTCTGTCGAGTATTTTCTATGAAGATATTCCCGTTTCCAACGAAATCCTGAAATCTATCCAAATATCCCCTCGCAGATTCTACAAAAAGAGTGTTTCAAAACTGCTCTGTAAAAAGAAAGGTTCAACTCCGTTAGTTGAGTACACACATCACAAACAAGTTTCACAGAATGCTTCTTTCTAGCTTGTAGGGGAAGATATTCCCTTTATCACCATGGGCCTCCAACCGTCCGAAACATCCACTTCCATATACTACAAAAAGAGCGTTTCAAACCTGCTCTATGAAAGGCAATGTTCAACTCTGTGACTTGAATGCAGACACCACAGAGCAGTTTCTGAGAATGCTTCTGTCCAGACTTTATAGGAAGATATTGCCGTTTCCAACGAAATCTTCACAGCTATCCAAATATCCACTTGCAGATACTACAAAAAGAATGTATCAAAAGTGCTCTGTCAAAAGGAAAGTTCTTCTCTGCTAGTTGAGTACATACGTCATAAAGAAGTTTCTGAGAATGTTTCTGTCTAGTGGTTATGGGAAGATATTTGCTTTTTCACCTTAGGCCTCAGAGAGCTCCAAATATCCCCTTGCACATACTACAAAAAGAGTGCTTCAAAGCTGCTCTCTGAAAGGGAATGTTCAAATCTATGAGTTGAATGCAAACATCACAAAGACGTTTCTGAGAATGCTTCTGTCTAGATTTGATATGAAGATATTCCCGTTTCCAACGAAATCTTCAAATCTATCCAAATGTCCACTTGCAGATTCAACAAAAGGTGTTTTTCAGAACTGCTCTATGAAAAGAAAGATCCACCTCTGTTAGCTGAGTTCACACATCACAAACAAGTTTATGAGAATGCTTCTGTCTAGTTTTTATTTGAAGATATTTCCTTTCTCACCATAGAGATGAAAGCTGTCCTAATGTTCACTTCCAGATACTACAGAAAGAGTGTTTCAAAACTGCTGTACGAAAGGGAATGTTCAACTCTGTGACTTGAATGCACACATCACAAAGAAGTTTCTGAGGATGCTGCTGTCTACTTTTTATGCGTAATCCCGTTTCCAACGAAATCCTCCAAGCTATCCAAATATCCACTTGCAGATTCCACAGAAAGACTGTTTCAAAACTGCTCTGTCAATAGAAAGGTTTAACTCTGTTAGCTGCGTGCATATATCCCAAAGAATATTCTGAGATTGCTTCTGTCTAGTTTTTATGGGAAGATATTTACCTTTTCACTTTAGGTGTCAAGGCGCTCCAAATGTCCACTTCCAGATACTACAAAAAGAGTATTTCAAACCTACTCTGTGAAAGGGAATATTCAACTCTGTGACTTGAATGCAGATATCACAAAGAAGTTTCTGAGAATGCTTCTGCCGAGATTTTAAAAGAAGATATTCCCGTTTCCAAGGAAATCCTGATATCTATCCAAATATCCCCACGCAGATTCTACAAAAAGAGTGTTTCAAAACTGCTCTGTAAAAAGAAAGGTTCAACTCTGTTAGTTGAGTACACACATCACAAACAAGTTTCACAGAATGCTTCTTTCTAGCTTGTAGGGGAAGATATTCCCTTTATCACCATGGGCCTCAAACCGTCTGAAACGTCCACTTCCATATACTACAAAAAGAGCATTCCAAACCTGCTCTATGAAAGGCAATGTTCAACTCTGTGACTTGAATGCAGACATCACAGAGCAGTTTCTGAGAATGCTTCTGTCTAGATTTTATAGGAAGATATTCCCGTTTCCAACGAAATCTTCACAGCTATCCCAATATCCACTTGCAGATTCTACAAAAAGAGTGTATCAAAACTGCTCTGTCAAAAGGAAGGTTCTTCTCTGTTAGGTGAGTGCATACGTCATAAAGCAGTTTCTGAGAATGTTTCTGTCTAGTGGTTATGGGAAGATATTTGCTTTTTCACCGTAGGCCTCAGAGCGCTCCAAATATCCACTTGCACATACTACAAAAAGAGTGCCTCAAAGCTGCTCTCTGAAGCGGAATGTTCAACTCTATGAGTTGAATGCAAACATCACAAAGACGTTTCTGAGAATGCTTCTGTCTAGATTTGATATGAAGATATTCCCGTTTCCAACGAAATCTTCAAATCTATCCAAATGTCCACTTGCAGATTCAACAAAATGTGTTTTTCAGAACTGCTCTATCAAAAGAAAGATCCACGTCTCTTAGCTGAGTTAACACATCACAAACAAGTTTATGAGAATGCTTCTGTCTAGTTTTTATTTGAAGGTATTTCCTTTCTCACCATAGACCTGAAAGCTGTCCTAATGTTCACTTCCAGATACTACAGAAAGAGTGTTTCAAAACTGCTGTACGAAAGGGAATGTTCAACTCTGTGACTTGAATGCCCACATCACAAAGAAGTTTCTGAGGATGCTGCCGTCTATTTTTTATACGTAATCCCGTTTCCAACGAAATCCTCCAAGCTATCCAAATATCCACTTGCAGATTCTACAAAAAGAGTGTTTCAAAACTGCTCTGTAAAAAGAAAGGTTCAACTCTGTTAGCTATGTGCATATATCCCAAAGAAAATTCTGAGATTGCTTCTGTCTAGTTTTTATGGGAAGATATTTCCCTTTTCACCGTAGGCGTCAAGGCGCTCCAAATGTCCACTTCCAGATACTACAAAAAGAGTGTTTCAAACCTACTCTGTGAAAGGGAATATTCATCTCTGTGACTTGAATGCACATATCACAAAGAAGTTTCTGAGAATGCTTCTGTCGAGATTTTATATGAAGATATTCCCGTTTCCAACGAAATCCTGAAATCTATCCAAATATCCCCTCGCAGATTCTACAAAAAGAGTGTTTCAAAACTGCTCTGTGAAAAGAAAGGTTCAACTCTCTTAGTTGAGTACACACATCACAAACAAGTTTCACAGAATGCTTCTTTCTAGCTTGTAGGGGAAGATATTCCCTTTGTCACCATGGGCCTCAAACCGTCCGAAACGTCCACTTCCATATACTACAAAAAGAGCGTTTCAAACCTGCTCTAGGAAAGGCAATGTTCAACTCTGTGACTTGAATGCAGACATCACAGAGCAGTTTCTGAGAATGCTTCTGTCTAGATTTTATAGGAAGATATTCCCGTTTCCAACGAAATCTTCACAGCTATCCAAATATCCACTTGCAGATTCTACAAAAAGAGTGTATCAAAACTGCTCTGTCAAAAGGAAGGTTCTTCTCTTTTAGGTGAGTGCATACGTCATAAAGGAATTTCTGAGAATGTTTCTGTCTAGTGGTTATGGGAAGATATTTGCTTTTTCACCGTAGGCCTCAGAGCGCTCCAAATATCCACTTGCACATAGTACAAAAAGAGTGCTTCAAAGCTGCTCTCTGAAACGGAATGTTCAACTCTATGAGTTGAATGCAAACATCTCAAAGACGTTTCTGAGAATGCTTCTGTCTAGATTTGATATGAAGATATTCCCGTTTCCAACGAAATCTTCAAATCTATCCAAATGTCCACTTGCAGATTCAACAAAAAGTGTTTTTCAGAACTGCTCTATCAAAAGAAAGATCCACCTCTGTTAGCTGAGTTCACACATCACAAACAAGTTTATGAGTATGCTTCTGTCTAGTTTTTATTTGAAGATATTTCCTTTCTCACCAAAGACCTGAAAGCTGTCCTAATGTTCACTTCCAGATACTACAGAAAGAGTGTTTCAAAACTGCTGTACGAAAGGGAATGTTCAACTCTGTGACTTGAATGCACACATCACAAAGAAGTTTCTGAGGATGCTGCTCTCTACTTTTTATACGTAATCCCGTTTCCAACGAAATCCTCCAAGCTATCCAAATATCCACTTGCAGATTCCACAGAAAGACTGTTTCAAAACTGCTCTGTCAATAGAAAGGTTCAACTCTGTTAGCTGCGTGCATATATCCCAAAGAAGATTCTGAGATTGCTGCTGTCTAGTTTTTATGGGAAGATATTTCCCTTTTCACCGTAGGCGTCAAGGCGCTCCAAATGTCCACTTCCAGATACTACAAAAAGAGTGTTTCAAACCTACTCTGTGAAAGGGAATATTCAACTCTGTGACTTGAATGCACATATCACAAAGAAGTTTCTGAGAATGCTTCTGTCGAGATTTTATATGAAGATATTCCCGTTTCCAACGAAATCCTGAAATCTATCCAAATATCCCCTCGCAGATTCTACAAAAAGAGTGTTTCAAAACTGCTCTGTGAAAAGAAAGGTTCAACTCTGTTAGTTGAGTACACACATCACAAACAAGTTTCACACAATGCTTCTTTCTAGCTTGCAGGGGAAGATATTCCCTTTATCACCATGGGCCTCCAACCGTCCGAAACATCCACTTCCCTATACTACAAAAAGAGCGTTTCAAACCTGCTCTATGAAAGGCAATGTTCAACTCTGTGACTTGAATGCAGACATCACAGAGCAGTTTCTGAGAATGCTTCTGTCTAGATTTTATAGGAAGATATTCCAGTTTCCAACGAAATCTTCACAGCTATCCAAATATCCACTTGCAGATTCTACAAAAAGAGTGTATCAAAACTGCTCTGTCAAAAGGAAGGTTCTTCTCTGTTAGGTGAGTGCACACGTCATAAAGGAGTTTCTGAGAATGTTTCTGTCTAGTGGTTATGGGAAGATATTTGCTTTTTCACCGTAGGCCTCAGAGCGCTCCAAATATCCACTTGCACATGCTACAAAAAGAGTGCTTCAAAGCTGCTCTCTGAAAGGGAATGTTCAACTCTATGAGTTGAATGCAAACATCACAAAGACGTTTCTGAGAATGCTTCTGTCTAGATTTGATATGAAGATATTCCCGTTTCCAACGAAATCTTCAAATCTATCCAGATGTCCACTTGCAGATTCAACAAAAAGTGTTTTTCAGAACTGCTCTATCAAAGGAAAGATCCACCTCTGTTAGCTGAGTTCACACATCACAAACAAGTTTATGAGAATGCTTCTGTCTAGTTTTTATTTGAAGATATTTCCTTTCTCACCATAGACCTGAAAGCTGTCCTAATGTTCACTTCCAGATACTACAGAAAGAGTGTTTCCAAACTGCTGTACGAAAGGGAATGTTCAACTCTGTGACTTGAATGCACACATCACAAAG
Source organism: Homo sapiens (assembly GCF_000001405.40). NCBI lineage: Eukaryota > Metazoa > Chordata > Mammalia > Primates > Hominidae > Homo > Homo sapiens. The sequence continues at coordinate 17,182,709 of NC_000013.11, read as the reverse complement.
AAGTTTCGGAGGATGCTGCTGTCTACTTTTTATACGTAATCCCGTTTCCAACGAAATCCTCCAAGCATTCCCAATATCCACTTGCAGATTCCACAGAAAGACTGTTTCAAAACTGCTCTGTCAATAGAAAGGTTCAACTCTGTTAGCTGCGTGCATATATCCCAAAGAAGATTCTGAGATTGCTTCTGTCTACTTTTTATGAGAAGATATTTCCCTTTTCACCGTAGGCGTCAAGGCGCTCCAAATGTCCACTTCCAGATACTACAAAAAGAGTGTTTCAAACCTACTCTGTGAAAGGGAATATTCAACTCTGTAACTTGAATGCACATATCACAAAGAAGTTTCTGAGAATGCTTCTGTCGAGATTTTATATGAAGATATTCCCGTTTCCAACGAAATCCTGAAATCTATCCAAATATCCCCTCGCAGATTCTACAAAAAGAGTATTTCAAAACTGCTCTGTAAAAAGAAAGGTTCAACTCTGTTAGTTGAGTACACACATCACAAACAAGTTTCACAGAATGCTTCTTTCCAGC